>NT_187576.1:600000-900000 GCF_000001405.40 Homo sapiens | reverse complement strand
AAGTTATAATCTTCTTGAAGTTTAAGGGAAGAAAGGTGCTATGAGAGGGCACAATGGATGTTGAATAATAAATTTTTAAAAACACTTTATTCTTAGAAGTTTCACTTTGGTTTATCTTCCTTAGTTAAATTTCCTTTGTAGCAAATGTGTGTACCCTTGATCACACTGAAGAAAATTTGGATGTTGACAGCACATGGAAGCATTGTTTTCAGATATCTTCAACTTAGCAACTTTTGGATGTCAGGCTCCAAAAACATCACAGGAGGGAAAATACCCTGACTTTATTGTTTGATGAAAATTTGTGGATTGTGCAATTATTTTGGGTTTGTATGATTTGCTTTTATTTACTTTATATATTACATACAGTATAAAATGTACACTTTATCTACTTTTTATAAGTCACAATTTTATGGGTTTTGCTTTACTTATAGCGTTTTCCTCAAGCAATTCTTCAGATACTGAGCATCAGAAACCAAGTATTTGGAAACTGAGAAATGTGAGCTGAACAGCTGAGTGAATCAGACAGGGCCCTAATGAAAACATATAAAAACACTGAGATAATTCTCCTCCCAACATGAGTGTAATCCCTTTACCATAGGAAACCTTAGATTAGCCTTTGTTTTCTCTCCAGCACCTATCATAGTGTGACACATGGAGGGTGATAGCATTTTACTGGCTCAGTGAAGAAATAAAATTCCTTACCTAATTTGTTTCCCCTGTACTTAGTATTCCATAGATCTTAAATATAAATACAAATAGAAAATACCCACATATAGCCAGGTGTGGTGGCTCATGCCTGTAATCCCAGCATTTTTGGAGGCGTAGGCGTGTGGATTACTTAAGGTCAGGAGTTCAAGACCAGCCTGGCCAACATGGTGAAACCCCGTCTCTACTAAAAATAAACAAATTAGCCGGGCATGGTGGCGTGTGCCTGTAATCCCAGCTACTCAGGAGGCTGAGGCAGGAGAATCGCTTGAACCCAGGATGCAGAGGTTGCAGTGAGCCCAGATCGTGCCACTGCAATCTAGCCTGGGTGACAGAGTGAGACTCAGCTCACTGCAACACCCGCCTTCTGGGTTCAAGCGATTCTCCTGTCTCAGCCTCCCGAGGAGCTGGAATTACAGGCTCATGCCACTGTGCCCATCTAATTTTTTTTTCTTTTTGTATTTTTAGTACAGACAGGGTTTTACCATGTTGGCCAAGCTGGTCTTGAACTCCTGGCCTCAAGTGATCTGCCTGCCTTGGCTTCCCAAAGTGCTGGGATTACAGGCATGAGCCACTGCACCTGACCTCTTAGTCAAATTTCTGAGGAAATTTCTATCATTTGAAGCTGGGTTTCTAAAATTATGAAACAGCAAAAAAAAAAAAAAAAAAAAAAAAAAAAAAAAAAGTAGAACAGAAGAATACAACTCTTCCTCTCATTAATTCCCAACTTTACTCCATAGAAACAACTGCTGTCAAGCATTGTTTGTGCTCTTCAGAAATTATCTGTATTCTTCTCTCTCACTGTCTCTCTCTGCCCCTCTCTCTCTTCCCTCCTTCCTGGCTTTTTCTTCTCCTCCTCTCCCCATTCTTTCTCTTTATCCTCCTTTTTCTTCTTATTATTCTTCCTCTTTTCCCCTCTCCTAAACATCTTTTGTTTCTAATTTTCTGCATATAAGAAGCCTCCTCATTTGAACGCCTTTATCCACCTTTTAAATTAAAACTGAACTACATTCCAACATATTTGCAGTTGTTCACTTTTCTGTTTTCTCCTTTCTATTTCAAAATTATTTTTCCATTGTTGCTATGATCATACTGACTTCGTTGAACAAATTATTCTGTGTTCTATGCATTTATTTCATAATTTGAGACACACAACTTGAAATATTTATTTTTTTAATTGAGCCAAAACATATATAAGGGATCTTCAAAAAGCTGTTGGAAAATGAATGTTACGAAAACCTATGCATGAATTTTACACTTTTTCAAAATAAACTTGAACTAACTTGTTATGATATATGTGAAAAAGATCTAGATTGAGGCACTAAGAAAAGCAAGGTATCAGTTTAAAAAGAGCCCCTGTCGGAGCAATATGAATTCTGGTAAAACTGAAGCAAAAACTAACATCAAGTTTATAGTAAAACTTTGGTAGAGAAATAGTGAAATCATTGATGGTTTACAACAAGTTTATGGAAACAATGCCCCAAATAAACCAGCCATTTACAAATGGATAACTTGTTATAAGGAGGCATGAAATGTTGCTGAAGTGAAGACTGAAGCAGCAGTCTTCAGTCTTGTGAAGAAAACCTTATTCACTTGTGAGAAAAATCTTAGTTTTGTTTGTACACTAATGAATGGGACAGATGATTAACAGCACAAACAATAGCCAACATCATAGACATCTCAACTGGCTCAGCTTTCACAATTCTTTTAAAAACTAAAGTATGCTCAACTCTTCGCTTGAGTGCCAAAACCACTGTGCCAAGATCCGTTGCAGATGAGGGCAGAACTTTCGATGGAAATTTAAAAGAAGTGAAATCAAGATCCTGAAGCACAGCTTTCAAGAACTGTAACAGGATACGAAGCACGGCTTTACCAGTAAGATCCTGAAGATAAAGCACAATCAAAGCAATGGCTACCCACAGGTGGAAGTGGTCCAGCCAAAGCAAAAGTGGGTGGGTCCAGAGCAGAGGTCATGGCAACAGTTTTTGGGGATGCCCAAGGCATTTTGATTGTTGATTTTCTGGAGGGCCAAAGAATGGTAACATCTGCTTATTATGAGAGTGTTTTAAAAAAGTTAGCCAAAGCTCTTGCAGACAAACATGCCAGAAAGCTTCCCCACAGATTCCTTCTCCACCAAGGTAGTGATTCTGCTCATTCCTCTCATTAAACAAGGGCAATTTGGTGAACGTTTCAGAGGGAAATCATTAGGCATCCATCTTAGAGAACTGACGTGGCTCCTTCTGGGCTCTTTTTGTTTCCTACTCTTAAAAAATATTTAAATGGCACCCATTTTTCTTTAGATGATCATGTAAAAAAGACTGCATTGATTTGGTTAAATTCTCAGGACCCTCATTTCTTTACGAATAGACTAAATAGTGGTATCACAAGATACAAAAGTGTCTTGAGCTTGATGGAGTTTACGTTGATAAATACAGTTTATTTTTAAATACTTTTATCTTTACATTACGTTTTTCATGCATCTTTTGAAATCTCCTCAGATGCATTTTCCAAAGTGACATATTTCTTTCACTGTTTGCTTACAACGTTGCATAAGGTGCAAAGGCTGTTAAATAGCTCAAAATAAGATCTGATGGAGCTTACAAAATGGCAAATACACTTTAAGGTGCTAACAGGAAGTCCAAGAGGGAGTTTGATCTGGGCTTGGCAGAAACTGTGTCCGGAATTGGTGGGCTCTTGGTCTCACTGACTTCAAGAATGAAGCCCCAGACCCTCGCGGTGTGTTACAGTTCTTAAAGGGGGCGGGTCCGGTGAGTGTTACAGTTCTTAACGGCCGCGCGTCCAGAGTCTGTTCCTTCTGATGTTCGGATGTGTTCGGAGTTTCTTCCTTCTGGTGGGTTCGTGGTCTCGCTGGCTCGGGAGTGAAGCTGCAGACGTTTGCGGTGAGTGTTACAGCTCGTAAAGGCCGTGTGGACCCAAAGAGTGAGCAGCAGCAACATTTATTGCAAAGAGTGAAAGAACAAAGCTTCCACAGTGTGGAAGGTGACCCAAGCGGGTTGCCACTGCCGGCCAGTCCCGCGTCGTGCGCGCGCACTCCTCAGTCCTTGGGCGGTCGGCGGGACTGGGCGCCGAGGAGCAGGCAGCCGCGCTCGTGGGGGAGGCTCGGGCTGCGCAGGAGCCCACAGCCGGGAGGGGGCGGGGGAGGCTCAGGCGTGGCGGGCTGCAGGTCGGAGCCCTGCCCTGAGGGGAGGCAGCTCAGGCCCGGCGAGAAATCGAGCACAGCAGCTGCTGGCCCAGGTGCCAAGCCCTTCACTGCCCGGGGCTTGCGGGCCGGCCTGCCGCTCCGAGTGGGGCGCCCACCGAGCCCACGCCCACCGGGAACTCGCGCTGGCTGGGAAACGGCGCGCGCAACCCCGGTTCCCGCCCGCGCCTCTCCCTCCATACCTCCCCGCAAGCCGAGGGAGCCGGCTCCGGCCTTGACCAGCCCAGAAAGGGGCTCCCACAGTGCAGCGACGGGCTGAAGGGATGCTCAAGCGCGGCCAGAATGGGCGCCAAGGCCGAGGAGGCGCGGAGAGCGAGCCAGGCCTGCCAGGCCTGCCAGCACGCTGTCACCTCTCAGAACCACCTCAACAACGTGCATTTTTATTCATGATGCTGGTGACCTACTTATCTATATGATCACTACAACAGTATGGAAAGAGTCTGAGTTTTCAAAATTCCCCGAAGCAATTTCGAATACTGAAGTTATTTTGAATATACATATATAAATTTTACTCACTGTGCAGGAGATTTGTGTCCTCCCCCGAGTTCTGGCCAGGAGACTTCTCACGCTGTTCGAATTGTTACAAAGTTCAGCTAGAGATTTCCTTCTCTCCGTGTAGTTTTACCCTCTGTTCCTCTCCCGTTGGATCCCTGTGGTGCCAGGCAGGAATGGGCTGCCCGGGGACCCATTCAGCTCCCAGGGCCTTGCTGCTGCCTCCTCTATCCCTGTATTTCAGTCAGCTCTCCAGACTGACTCAGCTCCAGGTAAAGTCGGAAACTTCTCCCACAAATAGACTTCTCAGGGGGTGTCTGTTCCGGAGAGGAGGGTTTCCCTTTCCCACTTCGGCAGCTGGACACTCACAGTTTTGGGGGTCTCCCGGGTCCTGCAGGAGCAGCCCACTTCCTTCAGAGGGTCTGTGGGTCCTCTGGGGATTGCTGGTTTGTTTTTGCCGTCCATCTGGAGCTAAAGTTTACAATGCGAGCTCCCACTCGCTGCTCTGTCCAGAGCTGCAGGCTAGTCTTGCCTCCCGTCCGCCATGATCTCTCCTTCCTCTTTTTAATGGACAGAAATACACATCTGTCGGCCACTTGAAGATTTTCTATTGCCCGCTAATGCTCTTTTTATTTTAAAAATTCTCTGATCTGCATTTTATTTGGCATAGTTTCTTTTGCTGTATATTCCCATTCAATAATATATTCCTCTTCAATATCTAATGTTTCACAAATGCTAACCACCATATTTTCATATCAGACTTTTTAGTTTTTACCTCCTGAAATGTGACTTGGGTTTTTTGTTGTATAATTTTTATGTCCGTCTTTTTAAATAAATGAGGAAAAATCATAATAAATATTTTAATTTCCTTTTTGTTGTAAAGCACATCATTGCGAATTTTGGATTAGTTTTGATGGGTCAATTTTTCTTCTCTTTCTGGATTGTATTTCCTGCTTCTTTTCCTGCCTAGTAATCTTTGATTGCATGCCAATCATTGTGATTTTTACTTTGTTGTTTGGTGCATATTTTGGTATTTCTATTAAAATGTTGAGCTTTATTGTAAGATTCACTTAAAGATTGTAATAAGTTTGATCCCCTGGGTATTTCTTTTAACATTTTTAAGGTGTGATCAGAGAAAAAAGAGTCTAGGGATAATTATTTTCCAGTACTGAGCTAAGACTATTTTTTATATTCTACCTAATGCTCCTTAAATTGTTTTCAAATTTGGCTGAAGGGAACAGACACCATTTGCAGCCCTATATAAGTATCATATATTGTGCCCATATATTTCAGATGATTTTTTTTTTTTGGGCTTTTGGAATTTTCTTTACACAAATGTTCTGCTCAATATTCTGCTAAAGATGCCAAAGGATCGCTATGCAGAACTCCAGATTTTTTCTCTCCATGAAGCCCTCCATTACTCTGTCCTGTTAATTTTAGCTGCACTGTTTCCTGCAAACCCTCAGCCTTGCCTGGTTCTGCTTCCCTTTGTCACAGGTTGGAGACTCACTCAAGACAGTTACCTGGGAAAATCATACAGCCCACCTGATTTGTGTGGCAACATAAGGCGACTTATATTGCCTGGTATCAGTGTCTTGAAAAGTTTTATTTCAATTATTTTATAGTACACTATCTTGGCTGATCTGATTTTTGTCTGGGGTGACAGACAAAATTATCCCTCCTTCATAGTCTTTATATACCAAATTTAATATGATTCATGCTACTGACTCATCTCTTGTTTCTAAGGACACCATATTTTATAAGTCATCCCATAACTACTTGTTATAACTACTTGTTTCTAAGGACACCATATTTTATAAATCACCCTGTAACTACCTTGCTCAGGTTCGCTGGAAGTAGCAGAAAAAGTTGAGCTGCTACCCAGAAAAAATAACAACCCAAGGAAATTTAGAATATTATAATGGCCTTTTAGAATTGTTTTATGTTTGCCATAATAGCCAGACCTTTATATTTTCATATTGATCAACAGCAGGTGTAAACTGCTTTCAGAAGACAGCTCTTGACAGTTCAGGCAATATCTGCAGGATTTGACAGCTAAGAGATATCTGCTGCAGGTACTCCAGAGAAGGGCACCAAGTCCTTCAGAAAAGGGGAATTCAGATGGAACATCACAGGTTGTGCCGCGTCATGTCCTGTGAAGAAAGGTTTAGGATTTAGAGATATTGAGCTTCCAGAAGGCACTGCCAAAGGAGTAGGGAACATTTGAGAGTCAGTTTCAAACCTTTGGAGATTTGTCATGTAGCAGAAGGAGTATGTTTTTCTATTAATTAAAAGTTATATCTCAAGTCTTAGGTCTAGGAAATACAATTCTAAACCAAAATGTTCTGCATGTCAGTAATGAAGCTTAGATTCAGGCACCTGGCAAGATCCATTAATGAAATGTGGACCTCCAGCAGGAACGTGGCCTGCAGGATGTCTGAGTCCCCTTGCAAATGTAACATCCCTCTGGCCTTACATTCCCTCAACTCCTGTGCCACATTCTTTCCAGGATCTTGTAAACTTTACATGGCAAATACATAAAGATTTATGTGCATAAATAAAAATGTGCCCACTTGTTAGTTTGCTCACCTGAACTAAGGCAGGTCTGTGTATCTTTTATTGTTCCATGAGCAACATTAAATATTTCTTACCTGTGTTTCTTACCCAATCATTAATACTCTTTTGGTAAACATGTCTGGGAGCAGTGTTGAATCCCCTTGCAATTAAATCTCTCTCAGTGTGGATTCTTTTATTTCCATCTGCTTTGTTTTGACATGTATATTTCCCTTTGGGAGCTATTTTCAGGAAAAACTAGAAAATCCTAGATTAAGAAAAATATTGCATCAACTCCCTCTCTGCAATGGTGCCTGCTTTTCACTCTATATTTCAGGGTAAATTTATAATATGTCTAATGATTTTCATTGGGCTCTGGTACACTTGAAAGAAAGCAGCACTGAGGCATAAATCTAACATGTACGTAATATATTTTTTCTGTATGTAAAGAAGCAAATCTCATCAAAGATCTCGGTTGAATAATAAATGTCCAGTTGTTCTTCATTTGTGTCTAATGAAACAACTGGCGGTGTGTTATACAAGATGACAGGAGTTATCCAGCAAAACCTTAGGTTTCACAGTGTATGTGGGCATATTTTAATACTGAAGGATTCTTGATAATTTACATCGTTTTTTTTTTTTTGAGACGGAGTCTCAATGTCGCCCAGGCTGGAGTGCAGTGGCGCGATCTCGGCTCACTGCAGGCTCCGTCCCCCGGGGTTCACACCATTCTCCTGCCTCAGCCTCCCGAGTAGCTGGGACTACAGGCGCCCGCTACCTTGCCCAGCTAATTTTTTGTATTTTTAGTAGAGACGGGGTTTCACCATGTTAGCCAGGACGGTCTCGATCTCCTGACCTCGTGATCCGCCCGCCTCGGCCTCCCAAAGTGCTGGGATTACACGCGGGAGCCACCGCGCCCGGCCACGTAATTTACATCTTAACCTTTGTGCAACAGAAATATTATTTTGTATGCCTTTATATACATTTTTTCTGCTGAATACTGATGAGTTGTAACTTTGATTCACAAAATGACTTGTTCCTGAAACTGTCAGAAAAAAATAAAGCCAAACTTCTTGTTCGAAAGCAAAGATGACACTCATGTGAATCACCATTAAATTGGCTCATTGGGATAAGAGCCGACATGAGATAAGTTGTGAGGGTTTATGTGAAAATGTACAAGACCTCTTCCCAGAAAAGTAGTAAGTAAAGCTTTCCCAGGTTTTACAAACATATGTGTTTTATAAAAAATTGTAGTATGAAGGCATCTCTTTGGAATACAATCTTCCATTTTCTTCTGCTCCCATAGTTTTTCCAGTAGCAACATATTTTGCATTCATGTTTATTTACTTGTTAGAGGACATATCTGCTAGTTCTTGGGAAAAATGATACTTAAATGTTTATAGTTTCATAACGGAATGCTCTTCCCCATAAAGAAATTCCCTGCAGAATGTAATGCAGATTTCTGTAATATGGGTGGGTCTCATCCAAACAGTTGAAAGTCTTCAAAGCAAATAATGAGGTTCCCCAAAATTAGAGGAAATTCTGCCTTCAGACTGTACTATAGAAATTCTGCCTAAGATTCCAGCCTTCATACTAAAGACTGTCACCTCAACTGTCACCTAAATAAATAGCCAGCCCACTGGCCTGCCCAGTAAACTGAGCCATTTTCTCAAAATATAATAAATATCAATCTCTCCTCTCTCTCTCTGTCTCTCTATATGTCTATGTAAATATATGCAAATATATATACATATATACATATATATACATATATACACATATATACATATATACATATATATACATATATATACACATATATATATATATATGAGTTTTAGACAAACTTTATAATGACTTTTTCATAGAGTGGCTTACCAAATATGTATATTGTGGTTAAAAATTAGCTGGTCCCTATCCAGAAATAATTCAGAGCACAGATGAATGAACTATGATGCTTTTATATGAACAAGAATGACAAAGATAAAAAGTAATATATTATTACCATCAACATTGATATTAAATAAAAATCCATCTTGGTTAAAAAAATTTGCATGACTATATATATATATAGTTTTGTATTCATTCATCTCTTTCTCTCTCCCATTGGTTCAGTTTCTCTGGAGAACCTTGACTAATACAGTGCCTCTTATGTCTGTCCGTGTTCCGGAAGCACTCTGGTCCATGCTTGAACACTTTTCTTCAATCCATACAGCTGCCAAAGGCTGCCAGCATTGACTGGGGCTCAGAGCAAGAAAGAGCCCTCAGCAGTCCCAGGGTTAGGTTTAAAGAACAGAGCTGCTAGCCATCACCGCTTCTCAGACCTTGGCTGCTGCACTCATCCACTTGCCATGGTGTTTTGGAAACTAAGTCCCGAGGAGCATCCATATGCATGACCTGCATGCCCCTATGTGACAATAGCCCTAACTCCTCCTGATGATTTGGGGTGCTTATTACCTCTGCAAGAATAATGTCTTTTATTCTTGCCTGCTGGTCCTTAGCACAAGGTTATAGAGTAAAATTTCAGCTTCTCTATCCTTGAATAAAGTCTTTCCCTTTGAGAATAAGGACCTCCAAACTGCAAGCCCAGGGTTTCAAGAAAAAGAATCACAGCTTTGTCGAGTAGGTCACCGGCAGTAAAAACAGGAGAGGCCACTCCTGCTTCTCGATGTCTTCCTCTTAGAGACTTAGCATCCACCCTGCCGAAGTGTCTACTTCAACCTGGAGAATAATATCTCATTTTTGTAAAGTCTGGTCTCTTGCCAGCTCATCACCTGTGCAAAGGTCATCTCAATGCTGTAATAGGCACCTGTTTTTGTGCTGCTGGAGTCTGTGATAAGAACATTGTATCCCGGAGCACGAGACCCATTTCCCATTTACTTTGCTGTAAAGTGGGTCCTCGTTCTGAGGGGCTGCTCTGTGAGATCTCCTATGATGGATCAAATCCTCAGAGGGCAGTGATGGCCGAGTGCCTGAAGCCATAAAGATCACACATTCAGAATGTGTGCCAATTCCAATCAAGATGAACCACTGCCGATTCTCACATAGAAGGAGACTAATTTAATCAACTTTCTACCACGATAGATTTTTATTTAATATCAATACTGATGGTAATAATATATTACTTTTCATCTTTGTCAGCCTTCTTCATATAAAAGCAGCATAATTCATTCATTTGTGCTCTGAATTACTTCTGTACAGGGACCAGGTAATTTTTAGCCACAATATACATATATGGGAAGCCACTCTATGAAAACGTCTTTATAAAGTTTGTCTAAACCTCTATAGTAACAAATTCAACCCTTTCAAATATGATAAGTGTAAAGAGGGTGAAATCAGAGGCCTCTCTAATGTACAGGTTTATCCCCACAGAGAAATCTAAATACATGACCACAGTTTGAGCTCCTGTCTGAAGAGATTTTTTAAAGGCTGTTTTCTCATTAAAGCTGGGATTTTCATCATGCTGAGTTCAGAGGTATGTTCCTAATGATCACATGTGCATGGTCATCTTCCCTTTGTGCTTTAATAAAATTCGTTATTTAAATACCAATATATCAAAAGGGAGCATTTCACTTTTGCTTTTTGTCGTATAATATATCTAATTTACAATACTCATATCCAAGACCTTCTGTTAAAATTACAAGTATAATAGTGAGTCCATTAGGGCTGAGCTTCATCTCCTAAGGTCTCTCAGGATAAGCATAATAATGGCAGAATTAGAGACACACAGTCCTAATGAAATCTACTGGATAACCCCTGAGCTAGTCTTGCAATGTTTTGACAAAAAGGAATTACTTTCTTTATTTTGCCCGAGGGCTATATTTCCAGCCAAAAAAAGTAAAAAATAAAAGTTACAGAATACATGTTGAATTAAATGTGTAAATGGATGGGAAAGCCTGACTACTAAACAGTCACATAAACTCAAACTGAGATTAATGGCTCAGTTATTGCTGAAATGAAGAATAAAGAGAAGTGTTTCCTTAACGTCTAAATTGCTGCTTTAAATTATCACAAACATGCCAAAACATTATGCTGTTTTAAGAATTATGAATAATTCAGTTTGACTCACAATGATTAAAGATTTGACATAAAAACAGGGAGAGAGAAGTTATATTTGCTTATAAGAAGGTTTTTATTGTAGCAAATGTTATTGTCTGAAATAAAACTGCACACCATGCATGGGCTTTCTAGGAGTTTATTTTTAAAAAGTGTTTGTTTGGGGATGTGGCACACGTGTCTATTGCCTGTCTGCAGCCCTGTTGAGCCAGACCGAAGCAGTCCTCACAGACACAGAGGGAGGGAAGAGCAGAGGTGTGTTTAACTCCATTTGCCCCAGTAGGCATTGCTGTCAGAAAGTTAGGGTCCAGGGGTCTCACCTGCATTACTCCGAGCTCTCTATATTCTGACGGGGAGAAATGTCACACAACTGGAGAATGTCATCCGCTACAGTCTAGGACCTTGCAGCCAGGAGAGAGACTCTGAGCCTGGAATTGATCTCCTAGGAAATGAGTAGAGATGGAAGAGCTCTGAGGAATGCTCTCTGGGACACGTCACCATCTAGAAATTGGAAAAAGGTGTCAAAGCCATGAAAATGCACAAGAAGAAATAGCCGGTGAGAGAAGAAAACCAGGTGTGTGCGTGCTCCTAAGAGCCAAGGCGGGAGGGAGTTTTAGGAAGGGGGAAGCCTCAGAAGTGGTCAATGCTGTTATAATGTTGACGCAAGTTTTGGTGGGAGAAAGACCAACTGACTGTTTGCAATTGGATGGCATGAACCATGGAGATTATTCACGCTCACCACTGGCTAAAATGTGTGATTGCTGTGATGGGGATGAAAGTGTGATTGGAAAAGTTTTGAAGAAAGTGAAAAGTGAGGATGTGGAGACAGAGATAGATAACTCCCGAGGATTTTTGCAGAACGGAGATTTCTGGAGACGGATGAATCCATTGGTGCACATTCCCTCTTGTGTAAGGAAAGGGTTCCCACAGAGAGGAAAACTAAACATACCATAAAAATGAAAGACTTCTAGAACAATCTGAAGCAGGTGACAGAGAGAGCATGAGATCTTGTGGAAAAAAAATTCCCAAAGAGGGATTACTAACAGTTTATTGTGAGAAGAGAGAAGACAATGTGGGTGGATTGTAAGTGTGATGATGAGAACTTAAGAGCGTTCTCTTGTCTGAGTCAACTCAGAAGCAAATTCAACTTCTGAGAGTAAAAAGGAGGAGTCAAATATCCTCATTTTAAAAAGTGTGAATTAATATGAGGAATCGATGAGGCAAAAATAATGAGGATTGCCAGGCAACGCAGGGAGCCAAACACACTCTGTGTTTCCCATGTTTACTCAGCACTTCTCAGTGTGTATGCCCAGAAAACCAAGTGTGGCTTCTGCTCAGATCTAGCCGCAGAATACAGAACTGGAATAAGCTGGATGTCTTTGCATAGATAAATGCAAAAATATTTGCATATTTGCTCACATACATATTATTTTCTATTGGTGAGCTTATTCTATGCATCCTATTTGCAATCTGCTTTGTAGTCACTCAAAAATATATCCTGAACATATTTCTACATAAAGTGAAGAAATAGAGTACAGCATTACTTTAAATGGTTGCAGTGTATTCCACAATATGTCTATAACTAACCTGTTATGTTGGGTAGTTATTTATATTTCCCTTTTCCCATTATCGAAATAAACTATCGGTGAACAGCTTTGTGCATGTATCAGACTTTTTTATATAATCAATATATAAAATTTTTATATGTTTATTATATAAAAGCATGTGTTATTTCATAGTCTACTAAAATTTCAAAAACTATCAATTAGTAATACTACTATTTTTCCTATTTTACAAATTAAGAAACTGAGGCATGAAAGGTTGACTTAACTTGGTCCAGATCACACAGATATTCAGAATTATACTTTGAATCCACAGTAGTCTCTGGAGCCCATGATCCAAACCAGAACTCTCTTTCCTCCAAATTTTATAGTACATTCTCCTATAAGTACACTAGTTCTTCCTGAAATCAGTGTTTTTCAAATATATGCATTCTCTTTACTTATGGTCACATGCATGGCATAGCTACAGAATTCTATTGATTTAGAATCATACTGAAATGAGGGGATGGGAATGCGTATTAACAGAGTTAATATTTCTGCAGAAAAGTGAACCTCTGAGAAAACATAAAGAAACAACTTGGTAAAAGTAATCTGCTAGATAAATAGATCATTTATTTTAGAGCTTTTTCAAAATGTGTTTTATCTCATGTATTTCTAAGGAATTACATTTTTTACCTTTTTATTAATTTAAAAAGTTATAAAAAGCCTTTATCACTACAGTTACTGGTTAGCGTAAATACGGTAGACTTTTACATGCTTGCAATTAAAATAGATTATTTTTGCTCTCAACATATCTATTTAAAGGGTTTTGTACTCTGCTGTTGTCCAAAAAAAATTATTTGTGACAGAATCATATTGAAAGGGTTGATAAAAATCCATTTTGGTTCAGAGTTTAAAACTACCATATATTTGTGTATGGTAAAACGTATTGGCACTCAGAATAACTTGTCTTAGAGAAAAATGGCTGTTGCCCACAAAATCAATCTCTTGTGCAATCAATTTTTTTAATATTATGATTTACTGAAAGCTATGGTGTCCTGACTTCAATACCCACAGCAACTTAAATTTAGTTTCTTGGAGACTTAGACAAACAAAAAGTTCAACTCAATTTAAAGAAAAAGCCCAACTCTGTTTTACTCACAAAGAAAATCTTGCTATGATGGAATGACCTAATGTAATTAAGTATGAAGTAATATAATTACAGGATAGTGTATAGTGTATATATTTGTGTATATGCACACACAGACACACACACACACACTGAAGATGCTTCCTTTCAATGCTGCGTTTTTAGTGTCTAGTCTCATAATGATAAGAGCTAGCTTTAATAAACATCTATGTTTATTAAAACTATAATAAACTGTAAATTAAAACTATAATAAACATCCGTGTTTATTAAAACTATGACTTCTGAAAGTACTTTTCAAAATTAAGATTTTTTCATGGGTATTTTTAAAAGATTAAATTGGTGATGTAAAGTTTCAGGGTGGTTTTTCCTTTCTCAGTTTGAATATTATCAACTGTGATTTTTCTGTGTTTGGAGAGTCCCTTTCTCCTACACGAGGAGACTGAGTTTCTCAAGGGCAAGCTGCTTATTTTCTTCATCTCTCTACTGTGAGCCTATCACCATAGCTGGTTTATAACAGGGGCTCAATGATCTATCAACTAAGTAATTGATTGACAGTTTCTAGAGAACGTCTTCCTTGTTTCCATTTTTGTTGTTGTTGCTGTCAAAACTTTAAATTTTTGTTCTTTTCCATTAACGGCTTGACAATAATGTTTTAAATTATGATCCAATCTTTTCATTTATCAAATTGTTTTTAAAGTCAGGGTGATTATTGCTATTCTTCCATAAAAGGTGAAAGGTCAGACACTATAATTTGTCTTTTAAGAGATAAGGTATTTACCTGATGTCCAATTCAGGTAAAGTGGGTACAGGAGGGGAGGAGAGAGCTTGCATCCAGGATCTTAATGGCCCAGGTTCCAATGCAGGAGTGGAAAGCGTTTGGCAGTTATTACCATGGTGTGTTTCTTGGCAGTTACCCAACTCAATGCCCTATATCCCTCACAAAGCAGCTGTATCTGTGAATCTTTATCCAAATTATAAAAAGAAAGAGGGTGATCCAGGATGCAAAGCCTGTTACATTAGCAAGCAAAGTAAACTAATGATTGGCATTATAAAATTCAAAATGGTGGCAAGAGAAGCCCGGGGGAATTTCCTGAGGCGGAGTTGCTGGTGGTGTTTGGATGTTTACGAAGAGGCTTTCCTTCACCCCTGATATCATGTGTGTGTCAGTTTTCGGGGCTGGGTTATACGTTAGGAACACACACACAAGGAGCAGTCGGGAAAAAATGGACCAAATATTTTCAGGGACTTAGAAATAAGGAAATCAAGTGGTCCGCGGTCCACTTTATTGGTTAACAGACTCAGCCGAAGTGAACAAATTGAGTGAGTTGAATATTTGTGTAGTTAGTAGTTTTCCAGTTTCACTTGGATAATTTGGGAGCAAAATCAGTGTGAAACGCTTCATAACTCCTCCAGAATTTGAGAGGGGTAATTTTTATTCTCTGTGTAAGATAACTGAAGAGTGCCTGACACTTGTAGCTATTCCATCTGTGTTGAAGGTGGAAAATGCATGAACGCCGTGACGAGAATTTTGCGATGCAAACATCAGTCAACAGTCATGTACCAATACCATGGTATTAAGCAGCAATATATATAAGGCTTTATATCACAAATATTAAACACCAGAATCAGTTAGTGGATAACCAGCAGATAACAATACTTATTGGAAGGAGCTGTGATAAACAGACAATAACAACAACAAAACCGCCAAGGATAAAAGCCCTGGCCAGGTGAAGAGCAAAAGTACTCAAGGAATCCAGATGAGAAGACCTACTGAGTGTGTTTGTCCATTAGGATAGCGGATAAGTTACTGACAACCAGTTTTAGTCCATGATGACACTTTATTTTCAAGTTAAATGTCAGGAAAAGAAGGACTGATTGGCTGAACTAAAATTAGGTGCCAACCACTTTTCAAAGGAGGAAGGGCATCTGGAATAGTGACTGTAACAAGATTGCCTACCAAAGGGCAGGGACAACTCCCTAAGGCAAACTCACCTGCTGCAGTGAAAAGCATGAGACCCAGAAACCTGGAGATAAAATGGAGTGACAACCCTTAAAATATCACGATTCCTAACTCTTGGAAAGTTTAATTCAGAAACCATCAAAATGTCCATTTAACAACGAAAAAAAAAAGTAACCATTATTTTGCTAATTCTTAGCATTATTTTATTGTTTTTGGATATTCACATTGAGATGATATATCATAGTTAAATTGCAAAATAACAAGACAAGAAGATCCTAAAATTAGAGAAAAAATAACTGAATAGGACTTAAAAAAACAAACACATGTACTATTGATTTTATACTATATAGTGATATGGTTTGGCTGTGTCCCCACCCAAATCTCACCTTGAATTGTAATAATTGTAATAATCCCCACATGTCAAGGGTGGGACCAGGTGGAGATAATTGAATCGTGGGGGTGGTTTCCCCCCATACTGTTCACGTGATAGTAAGTCTCATGAGATCTGATGATTTTATAAGTGGGAGTTCCACTGCACAGACTCTCTTTACCTGCTGTCATGTAAGATGTGACTTTGCTCCTCATCTTCCTTCTGCCATGATTGTGAGGCCTCCCCAACCACGTGGAACTGTGAGTCCATTAAAACTCTTTGCTTTATAATTACCCAGTCTCGGGTATGTCTTTATTAGCAGTGTGAGAACATACTAATACAGAACAAATTTCCAGAAAATATTTTGCAGAAAACACTTTTTGATCAAATTAGGAGATCCTAATTTTGTGGACACTTTGATCAGTGAAGGACTTCCGGGCTCAGCTGAAATATGTAAAATGCTTGGAGGCTGGTGCTTATTTCCTGGCAACAAGAAACAGCTGGACACATTGAAACCACTGTCTTTTCTTTCATCCATCAGGGAACTTAGAGCACAAAGTGCACAGCCATCATAGAATCTGGAGACAGAGGAGAATCCAGAGTCACAGCCCAGATCTGCTTCCATGGGACCGTTAACTGGTTGGGTCACTTGAATGGCAACTCTGATGAACCAGGAAGACTGGGTATAGATGTGGATGAGTGACAAACTCTTGAAAGTGGCCGTTATGGGGCTTGCACACGTTTCTGGGCTTTACCAGAGAAACACCACAGTACATTTTCATGGTGAAGATCTGAGAACGATTCTCTGCTGCCTCTGGCAAGGGCCAGAGAGAGAAATGAGCTCCGGGCCCCCTCCATTAGGAAGGCCTACTTTCCAGGAGAAGACTGGCCCAGAGCCTTGTCCAGAGCCACGTGGAATGGCATCTTCTCCAGACCATGTCCCCAGCCTTTCTGTCTCACACAAGGGGCAGGGAAAGTGGAAGAAAGCCACACAGGACCCTCAGGCTAAGGTCATCACAGGCCCTCTGAGATAAATAGATTAAACTGGGGTATCATAGCGTGACCCCTCCTCCTCTCCTCACCATCACATAAACAGAGCTCCCTTGCAATCAAAATATATAGCGCGTTTCAGTGAAAAGAGCTGCAGGTCAGACACTCAGAGAGGGCCAGCTCAAGAGCAGAGACACAAACAAGGCCACTAGAGGAGCTTGCAGTTTCTTCAGCAAACACAGAGCAAAGCCTGGCAACTACTCAGATTAACATACCTCTTGATAGTAGAAGCCGATTCTCCTCAGTTCCTATTACCTGATCCGTGAGTTCTTCCAGTAAAAATTGGGCCAAAGCAAAGGACAAGAAAAAATAAAAACAGTCTGAAGAAACGAAACCTCAGAAACAAAGTCAGGTATGACACAGATGTTGGAATTATCAGAAGGGAATTAAAACAACTGGTAAATATGTAAACGTTCTCATGAAATAAGTAAACAACGTGCAAACACAGATGGATAATGTAAGCAGTGTAAAAGGAAAATGAATCTTGGGGTCCCAAAATCACAAAGCCAAAAGGAAAGTCAAGCTGGGAACTGCTTAGGGCAAACCTGCCTCCCATTCTACTCCTAAAAACGATAGCTACTAAGGTGTTTTTGTTTTTGTTTTTGTTTTTGTTTTTGTTTTTAACAAAAGCTACATACTTCCCTCACAATTTGTCCACAAGGAAATCCCTTGTGGACAAAGGACAGACAGATCCAAGTCATCCCTCTGCTCACTGAGATAAATGCATATCTGATTGCTTCCTTTGGAAAGCTTAACCAGAAACTCAAAAGAATGCAACCGTTTTTGTCTTATCTACCTATGACCTGGAAACCCCGTCCCCACCTCGAGTTGCCCGGCCTTGCTGGATGGAGCCAATGTATGGCTTACATACATTGATTGGTGCCTCATGTCTCCTTGAAATGTATGAAAGCAAGCTGTTCCCTGACCACCTGGGGCACATGTCGTCAGGACCTCCTGAGGCTGTGTCACGGATGTGTGTCCTTAACTTTGGCAAAAATAAACGTTCCAAATTGACTGAGACTGTCTCAGGTATTTGGGATTCACAGCAGAGATAACGAACTTCTAAGAAAGGCAGAAAATGCTAGAACATATAAAACAGAAATAAAGAGTACCTTGGACACGCTTATCACTAGACTTCACACATCTGAAGAAAGAATTACTGAGTTTGAAGATGGGTAAAGGGCAAGTTCTCAAAGTGAAATGATGAGTGAAGAAAGAATGGGGAAGGTGTGGGGAATCAGAACAGAATATACCAGAACTCTGGGACAATTTCAGAATGTGTAACGTATACGTAATTGGAACACTAGAAGAAGGAAAAGAGAAAATAGGGCCAAATAAATATTTGAAGTAATACTGATAATTTTTTTATTAATGGAAGGCAGAATCTAAGAGAACTGAAATGAAGACTAGATAATACAATACTAAGAGTTGGAGAATTTAACATGCCTCTTTAAGATGAAGCAGACAGAAAATCAATAAGGACGCAGTTGGAGTAAACAGCATGAACAATTGACCTGATAGCTTGACATTTATAAAATACTCCATCTACAACAGCAGGATACACATGGGTTTCAAGCTCCCATGGAACATTCACCAAGAAAGACCACATTCTGACCCACAAAACACACATGAACAAATTAACAATAATGGCAATTGTACAGAGTAATGTTCTCAGAGGACAATGGAGTTAAATTAGAAATCAGTAACAGGAAGGTAGCTAAAAAATTCCCAAATATTTGGGAATTTAGAAACTTACTTCTAAATAGCATATGGGTAAAAAATGGAAATCTCCAAATAAATTTAAAGATATTTTGAACTAAATGAAAACAAAAAATAAAACCTCGACATCTGTGGGATGCAGAAAAAGCAGTGCTTTTAGAGGACGATTTATAGCATTGGAGAGATGAAAAAAGAAAAATCTATTATTAATAATCTAAGCTTTCACTTTAAAGAATTGGGTAAAAATAAATTTAATATTAAATCAAGCAGAAGAAAAGAAATAAGAAAAAATAATACCAAAATCAATGAAAATGAATACAGAAAAATACTAGAGAAAATCAATAAACAAAACGTTGGTTGTTTGAAAATATTAATGAAGTTGATAAAAACTAACCAGGGTAAAAAATTATAAAAAGAATAAATAAATTAGCTGCATTTCCCTGGGGAGTCTGCCACCTGGAGGTGGGATCATCAATACTAATCATACTGACACAAAACAGATCATTTAAAAAATATTACAAACAACTCATGACCACATAATTGATAATTTAGATGAAATGGACTGATTCTTTGAATTGCACTAACTACCAGATCTTTCCCTGTGTAGTTTCTAATCTGCTGTTAATCTTACTCCGTGGCTTTCAGTTTCAGGTACTATCATTTTTATCTCCGTAGATTGGATTTTAAAATATTTTCCATTTCTTTTGTTTGTTTTCCTTAAACTAATTGCTGATGATATGCTTTTGAGTGTCTGAATTTTCACGTCCTCTAGTGAAGACTGTTGGACTTTGACCTGATGGGGAGTTATGTTTCTTTCTGGACGTGTTAACATTTTAGATGTTGTTAGCTTGGTTCTGAATTAAAGAAGTGTAGCCCTTCTAGAGCTTCTTTGGCTACACAAAGGATCAACGCAGGGCTCCATTCAGGCTGGGGGAAACTCAAATAATTTCAGGCATGGGTGATTTCTGGAAACCATTCATGTCACACCTACCCAACTGGTCTTTGCCGCCACGGAGTTTCACTATACAAGTGTCTGTCTTTATATGCAATAAACATCCAGTGAGACACCTTTGCAGATTTCTGGAGCTTTTTTATCCGCAAAATTCCTTTTGCCCCAGAACTCTGCCTTGCGATCTCTAGCTACCTTAGAGTTCTTGACCTTCAAACTGTCTCCTAAACTTGGTATATTTGCTTTGCTCAGAGTTATTTAATACATCTTCCTCTCTGTCTCTGTTTCACCGTCTGTGCTGTGCTTTCTGGCAGAATGCCAGAGTGAATGCAGAGCTTTCCTGGGGATCACAGCCAGAGTTGTCTATTGACCACCGTCTGAAAATACGTATCTCATATATTTAGTCTCACATAAATATACGTATATATATATTTATGATATATATATCATTATGGCTGGCTAATATAAGTGAAAATAATTGGTTTATAAAGACCAAACTACGTATCATTTTAAAAATATATCACATTTCATAAACATATGAAATTGTTTATATATCATTGTGACTGGCTAAAATAAGTGAAAAAGTTGGTTTATAAAAACAATATATATCAAATTTTTTAAACCTGTGAAATTTGATATATTAAAAATATATATATAAAACATCATAAATATATATGATACATATTTAAAAATATATATCATATTAAATTCAAATTTTAAAATATATTTTATATAATATATGATATATTAAAATATACATATTGAAATACATATATTTTTAAATATATATTATATATGTATTTTTAAGTAGCCTTATTCTGTTTAAATGTAATGTGATTTTTTCCTTCTCAATCTGACTACGAATGCAGGGTGCCAATGAAAGGAGACACACAAAATAATACACTGCTTCTCTTCTAATCAATTTAAATACTCACAGGTTTATCAGTCTTTTGTGTATCCCCAAATTGTCAAATCAGATGGTGTATTTATCAATATGTGTAGTTATCACGTATTGGGACCAGAGCAATGATTAAGAATGTGACATTTTACCTGACTATGGTCAGATGATTTGGTCAGACAACTCTCTGCCAGTCACCATTAAGGTTATTTTTTCAGATGTAGTGTCTTTACGCTTGTACTCTTGGAGTGTACTATACAATACTGGAGCCGACGTGCAAGGGTGAACTGCATGTATTTGCTTACACTGGGAAGAACAACCCAGTTGTTGCTGTTGTTGTGAAGGAAAAACAGCAATGAAAGAAGGACCATGGCCAGGTGCTCTGAGGTGGCACGCAGGAAATCATTCTTCCTAGGGCAGTGTGGGGCGGGGGTTGAGGCTGAGACACTTGCCTCTTGATCCCCCCTCACCTGGTGCAACCACCACCCCACTCATCAAAGAGGTGATGGATCGGGCTCCTTATTCTCTTCTGAAACTCTGCGGAAAATAATTCAAAGAAAATGGCTATTCATTCTGTGGTTTATTTTAAATCAGTGAGAATGGAAGGAATTGCTCAGGAGTATGTGAGTTCCAGAACCAGAAGGCCCATCCCCATGGACATGATGGATTTACCAAGAAAGCTGACAAAGTAATTTTTGAAAGCTCTTGAAAATTAAAAATCTGGAGGTCGAGCAAAATGAATACTGCTCTCAGGATTTTGTTATCACCCCAATTATTAAGTTTTACTCATTGCCATGTCGCTGATTATAGAAGATGGAGGTGCGTCAATTACTGCTCAGCTGGAGTTCACAGCTACGTTACATATTAGAAAGTACAACACATCTGCTTCTACGCTTCCATCTATGTATAATGATACTTTCTATATCTGTGAATTTAAATTTTTAGCATTTTTGATTAAACATTTACAAATTTGATGTTGCATAGCCAGCTCATAAAAGAGCTCTGAGCTCAGATAATGTTCAACATAACAGCTCATGCAGTCAACTGACATAATGCTTAATTGCAAATCTCAAAAAAAGGTAAACATGATTAAATCCAGTGTTTAATAGAATTTTGTTTCTAAATTATTCATAGTATTCTGTTCCTTTAAATAAAACTACACTATTCACATAGATCTTACTATCTAGGTAGAATATGTATGAGTGTGTGTGGATGTGTGGATGTGTTTATGATGTGTATGTGCGGGTGGTACATATGTGGTGTGTGTGGTGTGTATGTGGTTTTGTACTTATGTGTAATGTATGTGGTATGTGTGATTGGTTTGCGTGTGGTGTGCAGTGTGTGTGGTGTGTTTGGTGTACATGTGTGCATTTTGTGTGTATGTGTGTGGTGTGCATGTATGTGTGGTGTGTGTACGTGTTTTAACGTGTGTGTGGTATGTATGTGTTTGGCGTGTAGACGGGCATGTGTTATGTGTGTGTATGTGGTATGTGTGTACAAATAGTAACATTAAAACAGTTTGTAGATCTACCTCTGAAGGTAAAGCAGTAAAGCTCTAGATTTTTTCACAGTGAAATATCTTTATGACTTGAAATAGGGAGATATTTTACAACAGGATTGAAAAGCATTAGCCACAAAGGAAATTATTGATAAATTGGATTTAACTAATATTAATTTCATTGATCAAAATACGTGCTAAGGAAAATTGAAAAAAAAAAAAAAGACACAGGCCAGGTGTGGTGGCTCATGCCTGTAATCCCAGCACTTTGGGAGGCTTAGGCATGGGCATGTGGATCACCTGAGGTCAGGAGTTCGAGACCAGCCTGGCCAACATAGTAAAACCCCATCTCTATTAAAAATACAAATATTAGATGGGTGTGTAACACACACCTGTAATCCCAGCTACTTAGGAGGCTAAGGCAGGAGAATCACTTGAACCTGGGAGGCTGAGGTTGCAGTGAGCTGAGATCCCACCACCGCATTCCAGCCTGGGTGACAGAGCAAGATTCTATCTCAAAAAATAAAATAAAATAAAATAAGAAGACACAGGGAGGTCATAGCTATCTCCAGAATTTATGAAGATCTCCTAGACTCCTGAGTCAATGATAAAATTGATGATTAAATGATGGACGGGCCGGGTGCATTGGCTCACTCCTGTAATCCCAGCACTTTAGGAGGCTGAGGCGGACAGATTGTCTGAGATCAGGAGTTCGAGACCAGCCTGGCCAACATTGTGAAACTCCATCTCTACTCAGACAACAAAAATTAGCTGGGCGTGGTGGCAGGTGCCTGTAATCCCAGCTACTTGGGAGGCTAAGGTGGGAGAATCGCTTGAACCTGGGAGGCAGAGGTTGCAGTGAGCTGAGATTGCGCTACTGCACTCCAGCCTGGGAAACAAAGCAAGACTCTTTCTCAAAAATAAATAATAAATAAATAAGATGAGCAAAATTGTTGAACAGGCAAACAGGCACTTTACAAATGTATAGGATCTACAAATGACCAATTGTCATGAAAAGATATTAAAAATACAAATATTAGTTGGGTGTGGTAGTGCACACCTGTAATCCCCAAATAGCTATCAAGGACTTTTAAATTAACACAATAGATATCACACTACATACACACACAAAGACGGTCTCTCTTTCACACACACACACACACACACACACACACACTTTCACAGAACAGCTGAAATTTGAAAGCTGGAATTATCAAGCATTACTGAGAATGTGAGGTAACTGGAACTCTCATATGCTGTTCTTGGGAAAATGGAGAGATTGGAATACGTTGGACATTAACTTTGTCGATTTTCACTAAAGCTTATTGTTAACTGTGTCCTGTTATTCAACAGGAGGGCTCCTAAGTGTATGCAACAGAAATGTGCACACCCACCCACCAAAATGTATGTAATAAAAGGTTCATAGCAGCATTACTCATAACAGACAAAATCTGAAAACCACCAAACTGTTCCTCAGTGGCGGAATGGATATGCCAATCCTGACCCATTCATGATGATGGCAGGCTATTCAGCAGTCAACAGGTTGAAGCACTGCTCCTCATAGCACAGGGTGACCTCATCAACCCAATGCCCAGTGAAAGAATCCTGAGGAAAAAGAGTGCCTGCTTACTCTGTGATGACATCCTGTGAAATACAAAAGCAGGCAAAAACAATCTATGATCTTAGAAAACCGGTCTATGATCTTGGAGAGCGAAGATCCTGAGAAAGGAAGAAGGGCGTGCATGTAGAGGGAATAGAGCAGCGAGAGCCGGGGTGGTTTGATACAAATGCCTTGTTCTTTGGGGTGGTTATGTGAATGTTTACTTTCTGGTACTTCGATCAAGCTAAGGAACATGGCGTGTATACGTTTTGTAGGAATATTTTATTAAAGATTATGGAAAGAATGAAAAATGCCAAGAAACAGATTAATCTAGCAATCTATTTTTATGGGAACACACACACACACACACGTGCAGGCGATTTGTTGTTTTGGTGTTTGTTGTGTACTCCACCTTACATGATCCATCAACTTGAGAATTAACTTGAATCAACTTGAGAGTTAACTTGAGAATATTTTCTCAGGATTACTTACTATGGTGCTAAAACTCAATACCAAGCCCTCTTCGTTAATCATTATCTGCTTTTATTTTCCTCCTCGATTGAAATTTACATGCAAGAATAGACTGAATAGGATGTCCCAGTCTAAACTAAAGGAAATTAAACTACAGGTACTAGAAATTAAACCACAGTACTAAAAAACTACTAGATTTTTACCCAACAGATCCTATGACTCTTTTGTCTAGTTAGGTAAAACTTAAAATGCATAAAGAATTATTGCAACTTTCTCCGTAGAATCAAATCATTCTGACATATGTTTTCTCACCTACTCCAGCAGGGAGAATATATGTAATTAAATTGTTCACTCCCTTCTACTCAAATTAAAATCTTTCTACTCAATGTGAGACCAGCTGATGTAGAAACAGATTAAACTTAAAATACATGTGTGGGATTTTTTTTTGCTTGTTTTTATAAAACATTTTGAAAAAACATTATAAATACTGTGATAATGTAATAATGGTAAAATACCCCTAATTAATAAATGATACAGTACACTGTATTTAACTTGAGTTTAGGTTAAACAGAAAGAAGGCTTTGTGTGGGTTTAGTTGGCTGTAGGTACACTTTACATACTTCTAAGGAATAAGCTTGGCAAATTCAGTTATATACACACATTCAGCTTCTATGACTCAGAGAAATTCTATGAATTTGAAGTTGTATATTTTACTTTATATTTTACACCCTAACCCATCACTTGAATTTTGAATGATAACCATTTTCTGCTTTATGAATAGCTTTTGCAAACATTAATGCTACAATAAATATTCATGACATGATTCCCTCATTTCAATCTGTCTAAATCATGAATTCTCATTTTCAAAGTGAAATGTTTCCTGTCTTGTAAAAACAAACTTAGTTTTCATTAAACAGTCAAGATCTCAAAGGATGCTGGGCCTTATTTTTTCACATAGTTGGAAGATGGAATGTAAAACTTAGTCAACTTTTTTCTTACCACTTCAACAAACTCATAAATTATATCATTGAGTTTTGAAAGTTGAGAGGGGACAAGATTAAAATGAGACAAAATTAAAACACCAGGGACCTGGGAGTCTATATGATTATCTCCCAAATTTATGAACTTATTGTGGCTATTGTAAATTTAAAAAGAAGTCATGTTGTATATTTTCCTCAATTTATTGCTGCCAGTAGTAGCCCAGTTTATAATCGAACTACCTTGTCAGCAAAGAGGAAAAGAGGAAGCCATTGCCTCTTGTCTTATGAATGATGCTAATGAGTAAACAAGAATGTCATTTCTGTAAAGTAGCCATGTGTAATTCAGAGTGTTTTTCACAGCTTTTCATTCTTTTCAAATATTGAGCTTCGACAAAGCAGTCTTTGGCCTTTATATTTTTTTGTTTCCAATCAAAGATTTTACCTTTCTTCCAAATGAGATTTATGTTGTCTTTTCACGTCTCAACTTTTGTCTCCTGCAGCACTTGTTTATTTACAAAGGACTACCGCCTGGATTTATGGTGACTTCATTTTGATATTTTCTATAAATATGTTTTTCTACGTTTTATTAATATCAATGAAACCTCTCAATTTTCAATTGTAAAACATAATCTATGATAATAATAAATTATTGGTCAGGTACAGTGGCTCATGCCTGTAATCCCATTAATATCAATGAAGCCTCTCAATTTTCAATTCTAAAAAATAATCTATGATAATAATAAATTATTGGTCAAGTATGGTGACTCATGCCTGTAATCCCATTAATATCAATGAAACCTCTCAATTTTCAATTCTAAAAAAAATCTATGGTAATAATAAATTATTGGTCAGGTACAGTGGCTCATGGCTATAATCCCATTAATATCAATAAAGCCTCTCAATTTTCAATTCTAAAAAATAATCTATGATAATAATAAATTATTGGTCAGGTACAGTGGCTCATGCCTGTAATCCCATTAATATCAATGAAATCTGTCAATTTTCAATTCTAAAAAATAATCTATAATAATCATAAATTATTGGTCAGGTATGGCGACTCACGCCTGTAATCCCAGCACTTTGGAAAACCAAGGCAGGAAGGTGGTTTGAGCCCAGGAGTTTGAGACAAGCTTGGGCAACATGGTGAAACCCTATCTCTACAAAAAACACAAAAATAAGCTGGGTGTAGTCATTAGCGCCCATAGTCCCAGCTACTCGGGAAGCTGAGGCAAGAGGATCACTTGAACCCAGGAGGTAGAGGCTGCAGTGAACTGTGATCGTGCCACTGCACTCCAGCCTGGGTGACAGAGAGAGACCCCATCTCTTAAAAAAAAAGAAAGAAAAAAGAAATAGTAAAAATAATAATAAATATTATTTACAGAGAATGTACGTTTTTAGAAAACATTTTCAAATTTGATCCAATTTGTTATTCATAGGAACTCGTGAGTTATGACAAAAAGATATTATGACTCCCATGCAGCGGATGAAGACATTGATGCCCATGAAAGGTAATTATATCCCTAAGGCTGCATAGACTAATAAGAGACAAAGTAAAAACTTTAAGAGTCATCTCTTGCCCTTCACGATTAAAATGTTGGTTAATGCATCTAAAGGTCATTCTTGTACTTATAATCTTGATTTACCTTTGGTCCTACATAATTGTAAGGCTTTGTTTGTAAAGGACAAAGAGAATGAAAAACATCTCTGTAGTCAGCCTAGTCGCTCGGTGTGGGCAAATTTTGATAGCAAGCGGAATCACTTGAATGTGTTCACTGATTTCAATTTTTAATTTTCAATTATCTACTACAGGTCATGAGGGGAAAATAAAATCAGTACACTTTAAAGATTAGTGACCATAATATCTGCTTGAGATACATGATATTGTTTAATTGCATTGCTTTCATGCATGATACATTGAGTTGTCTTAGTTGTCTGTTCCGTTGGCATGAGGTTGAGAAATGTTCTGAACTGTGTCTGTTGCAAACCGAAACATATAAATCCTTGGGCTTTTGAACTGAAATTGGTTTGTTTTAACCTGTTGCTTTCAGATTTCAAGTCTTTAATTTTTTTCCTAATTTAGTTATTACTCATTCATAAAGCTACTATCATAGAAAACCAACATATAAATGTTTTGCTTAGCATGTATGGTTGTTCTAAAGTAGGATTTAACTTGTTAGAATATGTTGTTAGCGTATCAGGCAAGCATTCCTTGTTCTAGAGAAGAAAAATCACATAGTTAAAAAACCTACACTTTAAATTGAAGAATTCAAATATATTACCATATGTTTTTGGCTTTTTATTGAATAGCGGATTCAAAAATTACTTAATTGTTTAAAACTATTGTGACGTTGCAAATAGCAAAAATACGCTTTCTCTAGTCAAGAAAATTTACAAAAAGAATAAAGAGAAACTGAAAACAAAAGGTAATATGCTTTTCAAAATCTTGCTTACAGAATTTTATTTGAGTGGACATCTGAAATGTAAAAGGTATTCTCATATAATTGCATAAGTTTTGCATACATTTACTGAGATAAATTATGTAACATAATTGAATAACTTTATGGCTAATTAATATGTTTTCGATAAGAGGAAAACATCTAGACTTAATTTTTTTAAAATTTTTATGGAAGATATAAGACAGATGTGATTAGTGATTACTACATTTAACTACAAATGACAGCATGAATAAATAAAGAGCAAGGCCAGGTGCAGTGGCTCACACATGTAATCCCAGAAGTTTGGGAGGCTGAGGTGGAAAGGCAGCATGGGCCCAGGGGGTTGAGAACAGCCTGAGCAACAAATCAAGGCCCTATCTCTAAAAATAAATAATAAATAAATAAATGTGTATGGTGGTGCACAGCTGTAGTCCAAGCTACGAAAGAGGCTGAGTCAGGAGGATCACTTGAACCCAGCCCATCTCTAAAAATAAATAATAAATAAATAAATGGGTATGGTGTTGTACACCTGCACCTGTAGTCTAAGCTACTAAAGACGCTGAGTCAGGAGGATCGCTTGAGCCCAGGAGGTTGAGGCTGCAGTGAGCCATGACTGCACCACTGCATTCTAGCCTAGGTGACAGAATGAGACCTTATCCAAAAAAAAAAAAAACAGAAAAAAGAAAAGAAAAGAAGTAAAGAAAGGAAAAAAAGAGAGAGAGAAAAAAAACCACTGACATGACCAGATAATTTTAATGACTTTAAAAAAGTAAAGTTCTGCATTATTGTTCTCTTTCCAAAGTATCCAAAGTTCAAATAGAACCTCTACCCTGTTCAATCATTCAGATAGGTCTTTGATGATAGAAAATGTGACTTTACTGAAATGAATTGAAGAGAGTTTAAATTAAACTTATGTATTGGCATTGTGCAATTTTTTAATTGTTTCCTCACTCACAAATTTAAAAATGATGAATTTTTTTACTAACCATAATTTTAGGGAAAACGGAACTTAAAAAATAATTCTAGAAGTAGGGTGGTGAACTCTCATTGTACAGTGAATTGTGCAGACTCTCTGTATATTATTCAGGGTTCTCCAGAGAAACAGAACATATGCATATATATATATATATATATTATATATATAATATATATATACATACATACACATACACATATTTATTTATTATATATTATGTGTGTGTGTAAAATACAGGTGCATATATATATATGCACATTAGGAGATATATGGATTTACAAATAGATGAGATAGAGATACAGATAGAGAGACAGAGAGATTAATTATAAGGAATTGGCTCACAGGATTATGGAAACAGACAGATCTCAAGATGTGCAATCCACAAGCTGGAGACCCAGGAAAACTGACGCTGTAGTTTTCATCTGAGTCCGAAGGGCTGAGAACCAGGACGTCTGAGGGTGTAAATTCCCGTTCCAATGCCAGCATTCTTGAAACCCAGAAAAAGCCAGTGGGTCAGTTTGAATCAGCAGGTAGAACATAACCTGCATCCCAGCTTATGGCGCTCAGGCCGGAGGAGTTCCCGCTAGCTCCTGGGAGGGCCGTCCTTTTGTTCTATTCAAGTCTCTAGTTGGTGGCATGAGGCCGAGCCAGCATGGGTAGGGCACTCCGCTGGCTCTGTCTCAGGATCCACGTGTTCATCTCATGCAGAAACACCCTTATAGCCAAGCTAAATGTGTAGCCACATGCCTGGGCACCCCATACCCCAGTCAAGTTAACACATAAGATTATTGATTACATTCTGCAACTTAGAACTGGTGTTTGATTTCCAGTTTTAGGTAACATCGTAGCCACTGCTACAGCTTGACACCCCATACCCCAGTCAAGTTGACACGTAAGATTATCCATTACATTCTGCAACTTAGAACTTGTGTTTGATTTCCAGTTTCAGGGCTATGTGTAACATCGTAGCTGCTGCTACAATGCGTTCATTAAAATAAAGATTTAAAGGTGGCTGCTCCAAGTGTGGGAATATTGGTATCCTGAAATTCCTGGGAGTTTCCTTGAGAATGTTTTCACCATAGAAGCTGCATGATAGATAATTTTAGGAAAATTCTCAACTTATACGTTAAGCATATGTTTCAGCCACATATATGTAACAACAAATGGGTGCCCGAGAGGCCTTTGGTTGTGACAATTCATTCCTCATTGCTTTCACAGGCTGAGGATTCCCTGTCACTTTTTTCCTTTGTCTCCTTGGATGAATGCCTACTAAATTCAGTTAAGAGTTTCTTTCACCTCCTCCACCCCCGACCAGTCCCTTTTCTAACCGTGTTCTAAAGAATATTCATGGCAATGGCCAGGGACAGAGGGATGGTCAAGTTGGCATCAAAAACTTTCCCTTCCTTGTTCTCCACAGGGCTCCAGGTTTCCACGGTGCTTTCAAGACCGCATTTAAAACCGACTCTTGGGTTCGAAATGGCTGGAGAGACTGAATTAGGCTTACAGTTGAAATGTAGAGGGATGTGATTTTAATCTTTTGGGTACCAAGGGCTGTTATTATCAGTGAGTAATAATTATGTTGAGAGTGTCTAAGCAAAAATAGAGGATATATGCATGTAACAGAGAGGAATGAGTAAGAAAAAGCATTTTGCCCGTTTGTCTGTCATTGTTAATTCATTAAGTGGATATAGCAGTGATCTAATTTTATGTCAAACTACGTGTATAATATATACTAATTGTGTTAAAATTCATGTTTTAGAAAATCCTGAAAAATCTGACGCTTGTTTCAGAAACAGATTTATATTTATTTATTTATTTATGTTTTCTTTTGAACCCTGGACCAAAGTTAGAAACGAAATTTATTTTAAAGCAGTAGATGGTGGTGGTCAAAATAGTAATGAATAGTGATCAGCACCCAAGATTTTCAAAATTATGTCAAACACAGTGTCCAAGCAGTAATATGGGATTTAAAAAAATACATTTATGGGGGATGAAATGAGCATAAGGACTTGGTCATCCACACATAACTACTCCACTGAGTAAGAAGTTCCGTCTCTCCCACGGCTGGTTTGTCCCCACTTCCGGACCTGTCTTCTTTCTCTGTTGCAGTTGGCAAGGTGGAAGGTTTAAGGAGGAAAGACTTACACAATATTGTTGTCATGCAACAGAGCCCGTGCATGTAAATGTATTATGTGCAGAAAACAAACCCGCTTGTGATTGCGATGGGGACTGTTTCCATAAACTTTTTTTTTTTTTTACAAGAAAGGAAAGTCTATTGAATTTTAAAGAGCCAGAAAACTGCCGGATGTGCTGACAGCTAGAGGTGTCTTGGGTACAAAACACGTCAAATGAGCCTTCCCTGCATTCACTCTAATATCCTTCATCCAAAAGCAGGTCTTTCTTCTTAAAGTTCAGTTTTCATTATGACATAGAGATGCATCTTGGTAACAAACAGTTAGCGTACGTAATCTTATTAATCTTACTGTGTCCGTCAGTTGCATTTTTAAAATAGTGGTAGGCGTATCTGCAAACGTACACCCAACGTCTCTGAGAAGGATATGGGCTCATCCAGTCTTCATCACGAGATCCACATACATCTCTTCATCTGAGTACTATCACACAGAAAAGACTGACGGCTTGTGACAATTGTACAACATTGCTCTTTACCCGTACATAGCTAAGCAATGTTGATATCCATGTTAGTAAGGACTCAACATTCATTTTCAGGTGTCGTTTCACTTTTGATTCATTTTCTCTCTGTGTTTATTTATTTATTTATTTAGAGTCTTGTTCTGTTCATTCATTCACTTTTTAAAACTAAATTATAAGAAAAAAGTGTATATATCGGAAATGAGAAATATAAAATAAATATCATTACTACTGAGAAAATTGTACTGTAATTGAGGAGGGAGAAGTTGTTTGTTTCCCTTTGATCTCCCCCAGCACTTAGCAAAAAGCCTTTTACAGAAAAATGAAGATAAACATTAATAAACAGGTTGATCAGTTAAATGGTTTAATGAAACAAATTAGTACATCTATGGAACTCTTTTTCCATCCGTGTTTGCTAAATCAGAGGAATGACTAATTACAGAGTGCTCAGGCTAATTAAGAGGGGACTGGTAATGTCCTAGGAGAACTGCAGATAAGGTTAAAATCATGTCCAACATAAACTTCTGTTCCCTTCCTATAAGCAAAGAGATTAAATGTGTTTGGGTTCTCAAAAATCCCAGGCTCACATCTTTACATTTCTGTGGACAACCAAAAAGGGAAGCAATCAAGGGTAATAGATACTGTGTAAACTGGGTTAAAAAATCCGTACAGTGCTAGGGATGTAATAAAGATGGTCTTTCATTCTGTGAAAATATAATGAACTTCCTCAAGGCAAATTACATAATATCATAGAACTCAATGTTTCTGCTACTATCGGGTAAGGTGACCATACACAGTCGGGAGGCTGTGGTTGCATGCGAGGTGTATGCTTCGTTCCTCAGGGTTATTGCTGCTTCCCTCATCTCAGCTGAGCAGAAATATTACCTAGCTAAAAAAGACACTCTGGGCTCAAACAGATGTGAAAAACACAGCAAAACTAGGACGTGATGCTCATCTTTCTTTTCTTTCCTTTCTCCTTTGGAGTGACACATAAACCAAGCAGTCAACATTTTTTTTTTTTTGGTGTGTTTATTCAAGTAAGCAAAGCCTTTTTCGTATGAGAAATGAGAAATGAGAAATGTGCCTGCTTCTCATGACTGATAGAAACAATTCCGCATGTAGTCATAAGAGCCCCAGTTCAAGGACGTGCCTATTTTAGTACAGGCCTTTGCAGAACGAGAGATAAATGACCCACTCAGAACAAGAACTCAGGACCAGAAAAAAAAAAACCTAGGCAGAACCAAAATTGAAATTACATTATTAGGGCCAGGCATGGTGGCTCACATGTGTAATCCCAGCACTTTGAGAGGCCAAGGTGGGTGAATCACTTGAGGTCAGGAGTTCGAGACCAGCCTGGCCAACATGGTGAAACCCTATCTCTACCAAAAATACAAAAATTAGCTGAGCGTGGTGGTGCATGACTGTAATCCCAGCTACTCGGGAGGCTGAGGCACAAGAATAGCTTGAACCTGGGAGATGGTGGTTGCAGTGAGGTGGAATTGTACCACGGCACTCCAGCCTGGGCAACAGAGTGAAAGTCCACCTCAGAAAGAAAGAAAAAATTATTAGATAAGGCTATTACTACTTCTGCATTTTCTTTGATATAGAAATTTATATCAGAACCCTACTAAGCCATATTCAACAATTTATACTCAAGATCCATGTATTAAAGCACTTCATGCACTTATTTTAATAGATAGTTTAATTGCTCTTGCTTGAAAATTTGAAACTCAGTGGAGCAATCACTTTTACCATTGTATCTTCTGTACTTCCTCTAAGACGTAGGAGGAATTTGGTAAATATTTACTAAATTACTGTGGACCTCCCTTCACACATCAATTCATGCCACCTATCTCTCAGAGTTCAGTGATAGTTCAATGGCAAAATGTATATAAAAATGTCAGCCCAGGGTACCGCACATAGAAGGTCATTTTGCACAGGAAAGCTCATGGAATCTGAAGTTAAGTGTCAGGTATGATAGGATAGAGGATGTCAGATAAATGCACGGGGCCCTCTCCTCGATCTGCCACGAATTAGCTCCAAGGAACTTTTTATGCATTGCTGGAGCTGTTTGTCTTCCGTTCCGCATATCTGAAACACGTTGGCTGTTTGTGAAGAAGAGCAAGGTAGCCTGTGTGAAAGCTCAGAGAGCAGCAGGACAGCCTCCACGAGGCGCAGCCTCGTCATTTAAAGCATGTGGGAAATTAGCACATGTTCCTTCTCCAACTTTAGAAGTCTCTTCTCGGTGACTTCTAAGAGCAGCACTTATTTGATGCAAGGAAAAGGGACTTAGTCCTCATGGGATATTAAGTATTCATGCCAGGCACACTTTCTCATGCAAGTCAGTTAAAATCTTTGCTGCTTATTATCTCGTTGACTTCAAAATGACTACATTTCTTTATGCGTTCATCGTACATGTCAATGCATGTTTGCTTTTTCATAAGAAAAGTCTTCTTTTGTCAAGGAAGGTATATTTGTCATGTTTCATTGAATGTTTCCTTCCATGAATAAAATATTACTTTGTTCTCATTTAAACTGAAGAAATGGCTTCAGGGAAGTTGTATCAAAGCAAGTGAGAGAACCTGACACTTGAAAGACAAGTTCTAACTAGGACAAAAGTGTATTATATATTATGAGAAAGGGGTGGGAGATCAATCCAAGACATTCTCCAGGAAACAGCATGCACATCATTCTGGGATGGGAAGCAGCAGAACTCGTTCAGGAAACCAGGAAAAGTTGTGTAATGAGGGCAAAGAGTAGCAGATCCTCATGAGACTAGGAAGGGATGGAGTAGACTTCGGCGTCGAAGGACATCTTAAACATTTTAGTATTAATTTTGTGATCAGTCAGAGTGAACGAAGGATAAAAGAAAGGAAAAGTAACATAAGATTTTCATTTTGTAAAGAGAATTGGCCGACATAGAGCAGAGCAAGAGTGACCTGGAAACTTAGTCCCAGGGTTATGCTGTCATCCTGCAGAGACAGACGTGCTTAGTAGTTTGCTGATTAGGTTGTGAAAATGGAGAGAAAAGAATGCATTACAAATTTAGAAGAATCAATGGAAAGTCACTGGTAATGAATCAGGTATTGTGATGGGCGCAAAGGAGGATGACTTTTTGCGGCTGATAGCCAGGATCTGGTCTGCATGGAAACGACTCAATAAAACAGTTAACCCTGCGGAAGACCAAATGGGGAGGGAAATCCAAGAGCTTGGTTAGGGACACAGCGCATCAGAGTTAAAATCTGTCATTGACAAGCTACTGCAGCGAATGGATTTGCTTTTCCTAATTCAGTTTGAGTTATGTGTTCTCGGTACTATTTCTGTGTAACATACCTCCCCAAAATTAGTGGCATGAAGCAGCAACCTTTTGGTTATGCCAGGGACCATGGGGGTCAGGAATTTCAAAAGGGCCCAGCGGAGTGGCTTCTTTCTGCCCACAATGTCTAGGGTTTGCAGTGGGAAGACCCCAAGGCTGGAGCTGGCCTCATCCACAGGCTGGTGCATGCCTATGTCTGGCACTTGGGCTGGAGGCATGGAAGGAACACTTTTCAGCCTTTACACTCAGCCCTGCTCCCTCACACTGCAATGCTCTCAGGGCCTGGGTGCTACGACTCCTGAGAACAGGTAGCAGGTGTGTCACCTTCTCAAAAATAATGTCAACAGTCATGCAGTCCACACTTTACTCATTTCAGGAGATTCACAAGCCTCCCTCCCAGATTCAGGGAAGGAGATGCAGCCCCCACCCCTTGACTGGAGGAGGACCAAGGTCACCTTGCAGAGCACCGTGAGATGTGGAAGATGCCAGAACTGTCTGTGGGAAATGGGATTTGTACTTGGCTTGTCTGCCTCTTGCAACCAGAGTCCTGGTTCTCAGGGCCTCACCTGTGCATCTCTTGTTGAGCACAGAGGAGGCACTCGGCATAAATGAAGAGGATGCTTGCTGAGCTGGCTGGCCCATCCTCTCTTCTTTCCCTTGTTTTTCTATTTTATCTTTCAAAGCAGTGTTTCAAGTGTTTATAAACTAATCTATGTATAAAATATTATGTGGCATAAGATTTGCAAAATATTAAAGATTTAAAGAATCAAATAAAATATTTGTATGATACCACAGTCCAGAGGCAGCCACTGTTAATGATTTCATATCAGATGCTTGAGAAAAACCATCCCAGACTTCCTCTAATCAGTTTCCTTAAGTGGGATATTTAACTATATAACCCGAATAACAATATATTTTTTATTTCCTCTTTTAGCACTATGTATTCATTCATATCATTAAAAGCTTTTTATGAATTTTAAAATAATACTTGGCCAAAAACATAAAACACTGTTTTTAACATAGAATCAAGATCTAGATAGAAAATAAAGATGTGAATAGTTGAATACAGATAAAAGCATGAAACATTTGATTTGTAGAGGAGAGAGGTGTCCACTTTAGGTGGTTTGGAAAAGAGATCATGGAGAGAATGGGAATTACACTTGCTTCCTTTCACATGGATACAAAGAAATTGTCACGCTGCTTCTACATGCCTGCGGTGGATTGTGGCTATGTGAAGTAAGCCATTGAATTATTTCTATTTCTCTAACTTAATACCCACATTTAGTGCCTTTATTTTCAGAATGGAGCTGGAAAGTGAACATGTACAAGTTATTAAAAGTCACTCTTAATAATGCAATAGTTTCGGGAGCCCAAGATATTCAGTGGATGTGCTTTTGTTACATGTGAATAGTCTTCTGGGTTTTACCCTGAATGTAGTACAGAAACAATCTCTGAGTTGTAAAGTTGTTGAAGCCCACATAGCCTCAAGGTGAAATCTGGTGGATGCTGTCAGGGGTGTATTTTTCATCTTGCTGTAAAAAACAAACATTACATTTTTCAAATCCTTAGGAAATACATTAAATTAAAAATACATTTCTAAATACAAAGGAAGGAAAGAGTTCTTGATCTTCCACAGGAAGTTGCTTTTGAGAAATAAGGGGAATTTCTTTTCACTCAAAGAAGATAAACTATTTTCTTAGAAAAAAGAAGGAGTATTCATTTTAGGTAAGTGAAATATTTCTCATACTATTTAATGACATACTAAAAACAAGGAGACAGAGTAATTTAATGATTTTAATGTATATGGTTGTTATGAATTGAACTGTGTCCCCACCACACAATTCAGATGCTGAAATCCTAATCTCTAGTACTCCAGAATATGACCTCACTTGGAAATAGAGTTGTTTCCAATATAATTAGTTAAGATGAGGTCATATTGGAGCAGGGTGGGCCCCTGACGACTGCTGTCATTTTGAAAAAGAAAGTTTGGAGAGACATGTGTATACAGAGAGAATGGCACCTGAAGAAGAAGGCAGAGGTTGGCCATTTACAAGCCCAGGGACGCCAAAGATCACCAAAAATCCCAGTAGTTCGGAGAAAAACCTGCATTCTTCCTCACAGCCTACTCTGTTGACACCTTGATCTTTCAGTCTCCAGGACTGTAAGAGAATACAGTTCTGTGATTTAAGACACTCAGTTTAGCGACTTCCACAAGAGCCCTAGCAAACTAATACACTAGTCAGCTGTAATTTTATTTTGTTTTTTTCCTAAATGTCTTTTCCTTGATAAGAATCAGCTATCTTATAGAGAAAAGTGCACTATTAAAATCGTATTCCAGAGTGGAGAAAATGGAAACATAATTAAGGGATTTAGGAACTTGGGACTGAAGAGAGACAACCTGGGCCAGATGAGTCTTGATGTTGGGTTTTCAAAAAATGTCCCTACTGTGAACATTTTCCAAGTAAGAGGCAGCAGTGTCAATGGTAAGAGAAACACAGAAGATTTAGGGATATAATTCCCTTCAATCTAGTCTTGGGCAATTTGTCCTGTTCCTCACTCCTTCTCAGCCTCTGCATCTTTTCTTGGGAGGATTAGAGTGAATTACTTGCTATCATTAGGCAAAACCACTCTGTGAAAATCACAGGAAGAGAACTGAGTGAGACTTTTGGTAAGGAGCATAATTCCCAATATTTTTTCTTTTCTTTTCTTTTTTTTTTTTGAGACAGAGTTTTACTCTTGTTGCCCAGGCTGGAGTACAATGGCATGATCTCGGCTCACCACAACCTCCGCTTCCAGGGTTCAAGCAATTCTCCTGCCTCTGCCTCCCAAGTAGCTGGGATTACAGGAACTCGTCACCACGCCTGTCTAATTTTTTGTATGTTTTTAGTAGAGACGGGGTTTCCCTATGTTGGTCAGGCTGGTCTCGAACTCCCTACCTCAGGTGATCTGCCTGCCTCAGCCTCCCAAAGTGCTGGGATTACGGGCATGAGCCACCGTGCCTGGCCAATTCCCAAGTGAATTGTTTTGATTGAGAGTATAAATGAGTGTTCGTAGGATCCACTTTTTTTTTTTAGAAAGCCTCTTTTATTTGGAAGAATATCTGTAATCTGTCAAATCCTGAGCAGGGTAATCCCACACCACAACCCAACTCTTAGTGGTGCCAGCTACTGTACAGCCAGCCTCCTTTTCTCCCAGGGCTCTGCGTTTACCCTTCGGGAAAACCCCACAGACGGTGCCCATTATCACTGCCCCTGTTCCTCCGTAACTGTCCCTTTTCTCCCAGGTAATCTCAAGTATTTATTTGTAGACTTCATGCAACAAAGTCAATCTGGTCTTGCTCCTATGCCTTCAATGACACAGAATTTGATAACCTAGGAATTTACAGCCTAAAGGTATTTGAAACTGACCTCAAACACTTTCCATCTCTGCTTAAAGCAGAAAATCAACCAGAATAGGCAATCATTACGTTGTCCGCAGTCCCAGGTGTGAGTACAGAAAGAATAAATTACAGCCGGGCTCTGGGGTGCACACGTGTAGTCCCAGCTGCTCTGGAGGCTGAGAAGGGAGGACCTCTTCAGTCCAGGAGTTGAAGGCTGTGGTGATCTATGATCCTGCTTGTGAATAGCCACTGCACTCCAACCTGGGCAACATAATGAGACCCCCTTCTCTAAAAATAATAAATAATTTTTAAAAGAAATAATGAATTACTAAATGCTATGTAGTACTAACTGTGATTAAAGGTATCTCTTAGTACAGAGCAAATTACGTGGGTGATTGGGAAGCCATTGAGACCAAACAATAACTAAAGAAAAATAATAATGATAATATTAATTATAACATAACCTGGCACGGTGGCTCACGCCTGTAATCCTAGCACTTTGGGAGGCTGAGGCTGGTGGTTCACTTGAGGCCGGGAGGTCTAGACCAGCCTGGCCAACATGGTGAAACCCCGTCTCTATTAAAAATACAAAAATTAGCTGGTGCATGTGTGCCTGTCTTCCCAGCTACTTGGGAGGCTGAGGCAGGAGAATCGCTTGAACCTAGGAGGCTGAGGTTGCAGTGAGCCAAGATTGTGCCACTGCACTCCAGCCTGGGTGACGGAGTCAGACTCTGTCTCAAAATAATAATAATAACAACAACAATAATAAAATACAGTAACTCTCAGTACTTAGCCCATATATCTACAGGGTGAGTTTTTAATGTCAACAACCTTTAAGGTAATTTGGGAGCATCCCAATGTAGAATCATGGAAATATTATTCATGGAATTTAGTTATTTTAAAAATGATTAAGCTTAATCGTTGGCCAAATTTCATCATTAAACAACCAGCTTTTAGGGATTTTACTCCTTACTGATGTTTTGATTTGCACAGTATTATAAAAGAGTCAGACAAATCTTTATTAAATGTAGTATTATAAAAGAGCCAGATAAGTCTTTATTAAAAAATAGTTTTTCCAAACACATCCTTACTTTCTTCCTGCCTGAAACCCAGGTGAAATTTACTGGAGCCCAGTAAATTCTAGCACTGTCTAACAAACTTAATTTAGGTCCCTGTTTACTTTTTAGCTAAACACTAATTAAACTACACTAATTAATGATGATGCATGTAAAAAATTAGTTTTTTTTTCTTAACGGGAAATGTGAACACTGAAAAAAGTAGTTCAAATATTTAAGGGCTGCAATTTCTTTATAGTAAGAATAGCCTTAGATTCACTATATAAATATTTTATTATGTTGAGTATTATTAAAGCAAAACAAAAACTACAGCTTTCCACTGTAAAGGAATATGTGGGGCAATGCATAGCACAAGTAACACAGGAGTACTCCTAAGCATAAGGAGAATGGAGAAGAAAATGAAAATCCAAGCTCGTAAGGTCCAGTCAGCACCATCACCAGTGCTGTGTGCCAAGCATCACCTCGGTCCACTCCTGTATACATCAATAATAAATCACAAAATTTCTCCCAAGGATTGGCTGACCTTTTCAAGGACCAGATCAATTTTCTATGAAATAAAGGTGCAATGCAAGGAGAGCTCTGAGATAAAATAAATAAAATCATTTATTTGGAGGTCATTTTCATGCTAGTGAAGGGAAATGGGAATGTGAGAAATTTCTATTAAATACTCGAGTTTCAATCCTATTTCAATGCATTTTAGAAAACTGCAATTGCCCGTCTCCAGAGGAGGTCCACACGGGCATTAGCGGTTCCCATCAAAGCTACTGGGATGTCAACAGGGTAGGAATTGTTAGAGCTGCCAGGGAAGCAAGCATTATACTAACTGTGTTTAGAGATTAGGTCTGCTAACAGAAGAGCAAGAGAAAGGAAGTATTAGGGTTAGTATCCAGTGTGTTTCCAGCAAGTCATTTGCATTTTCCCAGGGGTTAATTCTGTGAAGTCCAGTTTGATGTAACACAGCTTCGTTCCACCGTGGTGCTCTGTCAGCCCCTGCTTCTTGTTCCTGTCTTCACGGTCACGGCTGCGCGGCTGCCATCTAAATTCCTGCATGTGGGAAAGGGAGGAAACCAAAATGCCCAGAAGAGCCCACGCCCCACGTGGAAAGACAACCTCTGGAGGGAGCGCCACTCAGTTCCCCTTGGCTATGACGTAGGCGCGTGGCCACGGTGAACTGCAAGGACATCTGGAATTCCATCATGAGGGTTCAAGTGGAGAAAAACCTAAGGAATAAGCAGCCATCTGTGAAACACTCCTTATAAACTGTGTGTAGCTTCATTTTCACACGTGGAGCACATTCATTCCCTCTCGAGGGCGACTACATTAAACTCCATCCTCTCACATCATCACCCCAAGATCTAAGATCCCTGGGGGTGGCTGCGTCCTCTGGGTCATGCTTGGATGCCTGTGGTCTGCTACAAACACACATTGCTGGGCAAGATGCCTGTCCACCAAGTGCCCAGCGCACATTGATGGGTCGTGAAAAGTGGACACCGTTAACTGTGTTTCAGAAAGAGGGTGGGGATTGGAAGCACGCAACAGTCTGTGCTCCACAACGATAATCAGATATTGCTGAGCAGGCTTGGTGAAGATTCTCCGCCCTGGCGATGGTCACGGGAGAAGGTTCTCTGACTTTTCTTTCTTCTTTTCTTTCTTTTTTTTTTTTTTTTTTTTTTTTGAGACGGAGCCTCTCTCCATCGTCCAGGCTGGAATGATGCAGTGGCGCGATCTCAGCTCGCTGCAAGCTCCGCCTCCCAGGTTCACGCCATTCTCCTGCCTCAGCCTCAGGAGTAGCTGGGACTACAGGTGCCCGCCACCACGCCCGGCTAATTTTTTGTCCCTCTCCAGTGTGCTTCATGGAACATGACTCTGCTTCCTTGGAGGTTATTTCTGTGCCTGTTTTCTTTTAAAGCCACCTAACTACTGGGTGTTGGGGAGGAAGCCTTTGTTACGGGCTGCAAGGGTCTTTGCAGGTGGCTTCTCCCTGCACCCTTGGCTACGAAAAGTGAGGGGATTTGCACCAGGCTTGTTAGGTTTGGCAATAGAATTCTCTTTAAAACTGACTCAAATTCTAGTCTTTTTCCTTCTATGCAATTGCATGTTGATTTTTTTTCTAAAGTTATTTTTAATCCTTTTTTTAATTGACCTTTGCCCACCATCTCTCTCTTTCCTCAATTGTAACAAAATTTAGAAAAAGAACCTGTAGCAATGCCACACTTTCAACTACATTCTTACCGTTAAATCATGATAATTTTTATATTTTATCTGTGCAGCTATTCTATGTATCTACTGATCTAACTCTATGTAATCTATCACCTATCATCTCTCTAGCTCTATTTACATATGTATCTATCTCTCTATCTAAATATAATGGTTGAGAAATAGTCATGTAAATCATGTTGTGGCCTCACTGGTTGAAGTGGAATAATATATACACATTACTTATCTGAAAAATAATGAGACATTGTTTAGTTACATAATTAGTTGAATCCTACAAAGCATGTCCCTCAATCACCCTTCCCTTCCTTTGGAAATAGACAACTTTCCCACAGCATCACAGAGAAGCCTCTGCTCCAGGGCCCTCTCCCTCTGCAGACCACCTTTTCTCTCCTGAAAAAGGGGCTGTTGGTCTCTATGCCAGTGCTGGGGTCTTGCTGTTTTATGAGCTGGCCTCCTCCTTGAGGCACAGCTCCTATCCCAGCTCCATAGAGAACACGTCCCCATTGGCTTCAGCCCATGGTCATTTGTTTGCTAAATATGTTTTGCTAATTTTTTTTGTAGAGAAGAGGTCTCATTTATATTTCTCAGGCTGGTCTTGAGCTCCTTCCCTCAACCAATCCCCCTGCCTCTGCCTCCCAAAGTGCTGGGATTACGAGTGTGAGCTGCCGCGCCTGGCCTGCTTGCTAAGTCATTATTGTACACGATCACGCTGCTCTGAGTGGGCAGCGCACACGCTGTCTTTTCTTTATCTCCCCCTTCACCCAACACTCCCAATAGGAAACCATCTCTTTTATGCTTCAGTCTCATAGAGTGTTGAATGTGGCACTCAGCACCTGTTCTTGATTTATTAAATAATGTCGGAGAGATCATTAAACAGGCTGAGGCTTACTATTTGAGAATTCCGGCAGGGCGTGGTGGCTCACGCCTGTAATCCCAGCACTTTGGGAGGCCGAGGCGGGTGGTTCACGAGGTCAGGAGTTTGAGACCATCCTGGCTAACACGGTGAAACCCCGTCTCTACTAAAAATACAAAAAAACTAGCTGGGCCTGGTGGCGGGCGCCTGTAATCCCAGCTACACAAGAGGCTGAGGCAGGAGAATTGCTGGAACCCGGGAGGCGGAGTTTGCAGTGAGCCAAGATCATGCCATTGCACTCCAGCCCGGGTGACAGGGCAAGATTCCGTCTCAAAACAAAAAAAAAAAAAAAAAAAGAGAGAGAGAGAATTCCTTGTTTCTTTCATATACATGATTCACTCAACATCAAAATTACTTCCATAGTAAGAATGACCCACTCTTCACAAAACGTCTGAAAATAAGCACATGTGCCTAATGTTTATGAATTTTCTTACATACAAAAGAAAACCATCCTTGTAGAGTGTGTTCATGGCAAAAAAAAAATAGCATTTATGACAACTTTATGGGCCCAATTAATATAATTATTAGATCTCTGTTTTAAGGTTTCATTAATTATGTTAATTTTATTTTATTTTACTACATAAAGTAGCTTGTGTAAACTGGCGCTGGTTGTCATACTCAATTTAATGATTTGCTCCAGCTTTTCACAGCCTCGTTAAGCATTTTATGTTTATCCAATTAATTAAAAAATATTTGTTTTGTGCTAGTATGTGCCAGGTGCTTTTCTAGATCTGGGAACAGAGGAATAAGTAAAACGGGAAAATTCATTTTGCGGGAGAGACAGATGATAACAAATACATTGGTACATTTTGTAGATATTAGAAAGTTGCATGATTATAAGTACTATGTGTAAAAATAAAGAAGAGAGTAGGAGAGCAGCGGCTAGAGTGCCGGGTTTCTGTGTTATCCAGGGAGCTCTGGACCTGCCTGGAAAGCGGGGTGAGACCCGCAGCAGAGAATCTCGGGCAGAAGGGCCAGGAGGGCCAGGCCGGGGGGAATGTGCTCTCTGACCCTGGGAGCAGTGGTAAGGGGCCAGGAGCAGGGAGTGCCACCATGGCAGGGTTCAAAGGGCCTCGCGTTCGAGCCCTCAGATACCTGTTGAAATCCTAACACGGAAGTGTTGGTATTAGGAGGCTGGGCTTTGGGAGGTGATGGCGTTGTGAAGGTGGAGTCCTCACAAATGGGACTAGGGTCCTTCCGAAGGGCCCTCAGAGAGCTCCCTCACCCCTCCGGATGGATATGAGGATTCAGTGACAGGCGCCATCTAGGAAGCGGGAAGGGGGCCTCACCAGACACCAAATCTGCCTGGATCTTGGACTTTCAGCCTCCGGAACTGCGAGAAACAAATCTCTGTGGTTCACAGGATTCTCAGTTGATTATGTGTCTGAGACTCTGTGTCTCAGAGTGAGGCTGAGATCTACCCAGGAAGGGAGGGCTTGGGGGAGAACTTCTGGGGACACAGCCAAGAATCTCGCTTGTATCACGAGAGAGATTGGAAGGTGTTGTAGAGTTTTCAATACGAGAGGTGAAAGTTGCTATGTTTATGTTTCTAAAGCAAAGATGTCCAGTGGTACCCCTTGGGAAGAAATTATGAACATAAAATGGGGAAGAAAGTCACCAATGTGAACTGAAATTCTGGGTAAGAATAAACCAAATAATCCTAGCAGAAACTGTATAAACCTAATAAGTGGTTTAGTCATACAAACAAACGAGCAAGTATTTTTTGAGTGATCGTTACTCATTAGGCACACGGGGATAAGGAAGAACTTTACGACCTCTAAATATTTACAGACGACTTGGAGATTCTGGCCCATATATATTTTAAAAGAATAAGCAGTATTTTAAAGAATAAACAGCACAGACATAAGGATCAATGGTGCTCACTGGGGATGTAAGGGCATCGGTAATGTTGCGTTTTGTGATCTGGTTTCTGGCTTCATGGATGTTTATTTTAATATCATTATTGTATCTCACAGCCACTGTTCACACACATGTTAAATATGTATTTATTTATGGAATGGTTCATATTATAAATATGCAATAGTCTGGCAAAAAACAATCCATAGTTTCTAATTTAGCAAAGTGAAAACAGAACAACGTCCAAAAGAAATGGGAAAAGTTTCTTGGAGACAGCGGCTTTGATGTGTGAGAGAAAGCAAACACCTGCCTCTGACCAGCCACAGGGTTGGCGTCTGCCATGAAGCCACCCAGGCACATTTTGCCCTTCTGCATAACTTCATAAACCCCTGACGCAGTGACTGAGCACAGCCCTCCGGAAGAATGTCCCACGGGCAATAAGGGAAGAGCGTTGGTCCCCATGGCTCTTTTGCCTAAATCAATGCATTTTTAGAAAAGATAAGTCCAGGCCGGTCATGGTGGCTTAAGCCTGTAATCCTGGAACTTTGGGAGGCCGAGGCAGGTGGATCATCTGGGGTCAGCAGTTCGAGACCAGCCTGACCAACATGGTGAAACCCCATGTCTACTAACTAAAATAAATTAGCGGGGCGTTGTGGCACATGCCTGTAATCCCAACTAGTTGGGAGGCTGAGGCAAGAGAATTGCTTGAACCCAGGAGATGAAGGTTGCAGTGAGCAAAGATAGTGCTATTGCACTTCAGCCTGGGCAACAAGAGCAAAACTCCATCTCAAAAAAAAAAAAAAAAAAAAAAAAAAAAAAAAAAAAGTAGATATAAGTCCAATGATCCTAGACCTGGCCTTTTTCTGTACATAAGACAACATCCACCAGGATTAGAGATTATGCCTCTGCCATCTATAACCGATGGACTCTTGCACCCAAACATTGATGAGCTTTGCTCTAAAGGAAACCCTGAGCATCTGCAGAACCCCCACCGCCAGCAGAGAAGCTGCGGGCTGAAATTCTGCTTTGGAGCAATCCGACAGAAACTCTCTAAAAGACTTGCCTGGATCGCAGTCATCAGTAGGACTCTGAATAGGACTAATTTTCTTTTTTTTTTCAGATGGAGTCTCGCTCTTTCACCAGGCTGGAGTGCACTAGCACAATCTCAGCTCACTGCAACCTCCACCTCCCAGGTTCAGCCTCCTGAGTAGCTGGGACTATAGGCATGCACTACCATGCCCAGCTAATTTTTTAATTTTTAGTAGAGATGGGGTTTCACCATGTTGACCAGGATGGTCTCGATCTCTTGACCTTGTGATCTGCCTGCCTCAGCCTCCCCACATGCTGGGATTACAGGTGTGAGCCACCACACCCAGCCAAAACTAATTTTAATTATTTAAAAGGCTGATTTTTTTCATTAGTTGACAAATGGAAGGAATGATCAAACTTAACAAAATGTGACCTGGGAGGATTGGAAATTTTGCCCCTGCAGAGTGACAGATTCTTTAAGTAGCAGCCCTTGACTGTGGGGCTGAGGATGGCACAGGTGAGTCTAGAGTCCACCTCAGGGAGGAGGACAGCAGAGAGAGGCACCTGCAAGGATTAAAGTCTGAGTGACAGCTTGGATCTGGTCCTCTTGTCACTGTGTTGCTACCTGTAAAGGTCTTTGAAGTTAGGCAACCACAGGTCTAAAATAAAAACGCTAGAAGAAGCTTTCAGAGGTATTCAATGTGTCTATCATCTGGATTGCGTTGATGGTTTCACGGGTGTTGGCATCTGTCCAGACCCATCAAATGGCATACATTAAATATATGCAGGTTTTTGTATACCAATTATACCTCCATAAAAGCACATTCTGAGCCCAGCTTCTGATGTGTAAAAACACTGACCACTTCAAAACAGACAACGTTTGTCAATATTCAGATACTGATGGGAATAGAAAAAAATATCTTGGTGAATATTTTCCATTTGAATGGACTATAATTATTTTGTCAGTGTTTAGGAGGGAAAAGTATTTTATCCTATGCATTTCTGATTTTAAATGGGTTTGTTCTACATAAAACTTTAGGTAATAATTACACTGGAAATACGTAATAAATTTGGAGCAAATGGTACATTTACTTTATTTCAATGAAAAACAAACCTGCCCCACAACAATAACAACAAAACTCTGGAATACACTTCAAAATATGTAACAGACAATCTGAAGTCTCCCTGGATAACTGAATGATTGTAGCAATGAGGATTCACATTGCTAGCAACAGGGTAGCATCTGATCAGAAATAATTATCAACATGTTTTTCTCATATGATGCCTCTTATTAAAATGCAATTTGTCAAATTGGAGAATTTCTAATGTGTTAGATTTAGTTTCATTGCGAAAGTTTTTTTTTTAATCAGATTCCCTCCTGTCATGTCAACAACAAGAAAATCCATATTTTTGTCGAATTATCTCAGTGAGAACTACCAGATATCTGCTGAAAGCATAATGTAAATATTTGTGGTCTTACTTTGTACTGTTAATTAATACTGATCATATTTTATGTTGAATTCAATGGGCACCATTCAGAGACACTTCACTTTTACTGTCTAGATATTCAAAATTAGTTAATTGGCCTTTTGCTGATAACACAGCTTTAAAAGTTTCTGAAGACTTTGATTATTGCAAGCATCAGTCTTCTTTCTAAGTCGGCCTAAACCATACTTAAAGAAGCAATACTTGTCACGCACAGGCTAAGAAAATGAACTAATATCAGTAAAACACTCAATGTCTTTAGCCAAGTATTATGGTTTATGTTCTGGGTTGGTAGAAATAGGAAACAAATAGAAACACTTCACCTAAATCTCTCTATTCAAAAACTCTAGTAAATGTCTTTGGGCTGAAATGTCTGATATAAGTGATGAGAACACTTGTCTCATGGCATGAAGAGGTGTTGACCGATGCTGCTGTCTGTCAGGAACAGCGTCTGAGCCCCGCCACAAAAATCGCTTAAAGTTTGAATACAAGTTCCATGAAGTGCACTGAGACTGCTACGCAGCAGTCATTTCAGAGACGTGGCCATACCTGCTGGATGACTTGTGTTGCCAACCTGCCCTGTCTGCAGTCACTCAGCAGGCATGGCTTTCAACATGTATCCTCTGTCCTCTCCAGCCGTGGTAAAGGTCTCAGACAATGTGAAGCTCGTCCCAAGCCAATGAGACCTCACAACATACTTTTCCCTTCAAACATTTACCAAGAGCAGAATTGCATAGCCACAAGATAAGGGGAAAAGGAGATTCAGGAGCACGGGAAGAGATGAGGCACAGGTTCGAATTGCAGCTATCTCATGGCAACAATGATCAGGGCATTGCCAAATTGTTCAGGCAAAGCTCATGCCAGGTAGGTGAAGGCAAGGGCAAAGGACGAGGGAGCACCAGTCAACAGGTGGGACAGGGACACTGGATGAGGACACAAGGAGGAGAAAATGAGGTCCTCCCAGAACTCCGCTGCTCCCACTACACAATTCTAATGATGCCCTCGGTTCTAAGAATGACCTTGACAAAGAGAATTCAACATGGCAGCCCCCAGGTTACTCAGGACAAATGGACTTAACCCTTTTTATACGGAGGGCCACCACAAAAATGTATCTGAGGTGGTGTATACAAAGAAAGAACTGAAAAACCAGCAGTTTATTTGAGAGATGATTCTAGAGGCATCTATAGGGAAGTTGAGGATGGAATGAAGAAGGGAAGGCATTCAGAGAAGGGTGGATTGTTGAGCACTTTTATCTGTGGGCAACAGCTTCTGCCCCATCTTCTCCATCGAACACACTGTGATTTTACTTTCACTAAGATTTTTCTTCAGCTTAATAAAAAACTATTTGCTTATATCAAAATGAATCTTGTTTACAGTTGCCCTGTACTCATCAAGACCTCGGGCTCTTCACTCTTTTCTTGGCAATTATTATCTCTGGGAATAGGTCTTACTATTGATTAATAATTAATATCTAAAATGAGAATCACTTTCCTAGTTGCTCCCCACATTGTATTGTAAGAGGCTAGATGGCAAGATAATGTCTTATTTCAAACAATTAGCATAATGTCAAATGCGTATTACATGTTCAGTGTTTATGGGATGCACAGATTCGTACATTGCATATTCTTGGAGTAGGCGTGTGTATTTTTCCAGAAGCACACCAGACCCTTCCATAGACAAAATCTCTTGACTTTTGTAACTGTGTTTCATTGTCAGAAAGGACTTTGAGGTTTCTTTTGTCTTTGAAAAGTCCAGGGTCACTGACTGGTTCATGACGCCACTGCAGGTAGACAAGGAGTCTATAATTCTTTCATTTTTCTTATTTGTCCAGGGCTTCAGTTAGGTGCTGTTTTTCAGATAAAGAAATCAATACAGAGAGACCAAACCTATATGAATTGAATTTCATCAAAGAAGAGCTCTCACAGGAACTAACATTGAGTCCACGTAGAAAAGTGGAAATTCCCCCAGCGAGGAGTTTGGAGTTTTCACACTTGTGTTCTATGTTTAGAATCTCTACCAGAATAATTAAGCTACAAGTTGTTTATTGCAGCTTGTCTGAGACAAGCCAATAAGCCAAGACTGTATTTAGAAGTAGGTTATAAAATATACTCTCTCTATTTATCTGACCTACCTGCCTTTAAAATGAAGGTAGAATCTTGCTTATTGTTGAGTAAAGAAACAAATACCCTGTTATATAACAGTAGACATCAAAATATCTTTCTTTTTAATGCTTCTTGTATAATTTTCTTAACTGTTTTTTGTAGTTGTTGTTGTTTTGGTTTGGTTTTAATTGAGACAAGGTCTGGCTCTGTCACACAGGCTGGAGTCCAGTGGCACAATTTTGGACCACTGCAACCTCTGCCTCCTGGGCTCAAGCCATCCCCCACCTCAGCCTCCCAAGGAGCTAGGACCACAGGCATGTGCCACCATGCTTGGCTAATGTTTGTCATTTTTTGTGGCAATGAGGTTTGGCTATGTTGCCCAGGCTGGTCTTGAACTCCTGAGCTCAAGCAATCCACCTGCCTCAGCCTCTCAAAGTGCTGGGATTACAGGTGGGAGCCACTGTGCCCGGCCTTAGTAGTATATTTCTCTGAACACTGAAATATCAAACTACTCTAAAATATTCCCATCTTCTAACTCCTCTTAAAGAATCACTTTCTTATGTTAAAAAATCCAATTTATCTCACTATGAGTCCAACTGGATAATGTATTTCTTAAGTTTGTTTTAATTTGTTTGTTTTAGATCAGAAATAGTTTATGAAGATTACTTGTCACAAATATTTCTAAGGGGAATAACTGCTGCTATTCATGAGTCATTTCAAGTTCGCTTGACTTGACACGGAGTTTCTATGACACAAGTGTTCTTTTCAGGAATAATGATCTGTAATGTAGAACATTTTATGTTTTGCAAAATACAACTTACTTAATATATATACTATGTGAAAGATAGACTTATTGTACAGCATGATGCTTCGGAAAAACATCTACTTTCTATGCCACATTCTTTTAGCCGAGATAAATTGTTTTATGTTGGATGACTTCATAGTTTATTGCCACTGAAGAATCTCATTTTATTTTATGCCGCAGAAACAAAGACAAACACGGACTTCCAGAGATTATGTACCATTGCAAAAGCAATCCCTGAAGAAAGGTCATTCCATAAAGGGTGATCAGAAATGATGGTTTAAGCCGTCTGTTTAGATAACCAAAGATATTTTTCCCATTATTAATGTACATTACAAAGATAAGCAAGAATTAATTGAAAAGAACTGAACTGGTAAACATATAATTAACTATACAAATATTAAGCATGCATAGTAAAAAGCAAGAATGTAGTTTTATAATAAAAAGGTGTGTTCAAGGTAAATCGATAGTCCCTCTGCATGACTATGAATGAAACACGCAGTTAGGAAGGGAAGGGAAGGGAAACATCACTGAGAATCCGCGACCTGCCAGAGAGTGTAGAGATAAGTTCATTGGATTTTCCAAACAGCCTTAGCTGTATGCATTATCACCGTAATTGAGCAGATGAGAAAACCTCCATTTAAAGAGATTTTCTAGTTCGTTACATAAAACACAAAACACAGTGTAATAAAGTCAGTGGATCAAATGGTAGAAAAATCTGGCTATGTAATATGCTGCTTACCCAGCAAAACACTTGAAACCGTAATTCAAAGTGGCATTAGAAGAAGTTTTGATCAAAAATTTTAAAGTATTGACCTTATAAAAACATAATCGAATGCATTTTCCTCATTTTGGAGCTTTGAAAAACTCATTCAAGGTTATTTTGCATTTTAAGCAGAAAAGATTAAATAAAGAAGGTGTTTTGTCCTTGGTAGAATCAGAAATGAGGTAAGTGAAAACACAGTTTATTAATACATGATATTGCCTAATGCCTGGGAGGTGTTAGATCAATATTTGTTCCATGGTTTTGGGAGTACATAAAGTAACAGTTCAATAAAGAAAATTAGGTGTTAATAAGTGACAAACGAGGTATAATGCTGACTGAAAATTAAAGAAATCCTGTTATAATCATTATTATAGTTACGCCTCTGTCATCTATTTCCTTCCCAAACTCTTTTATGTAAAGTTATAATTTATGTTTAATTTTGTTTTCAGCATACTCCGGTGCCTGATGCAAAAACTGAAGATTAATCCTACACTATTCCCCTAAAATGTTTTGATTCTGAAAGCAAAGCATGGCTTTTCTCTGGGTAGTATGTACATACTTGTTGAGTCTATTCCTGAACAAATCAATGGAAAGTTGCTTTTCTCAGCAATATTTGTTCTATCGACTTTTACACTGTAGAGCTAACTCAATTATTAGGAAAGGAAGCTATTTTATTTTGAAGTCATGTCAATGCTATGCAAGTCAAATTGCAGGATTTTCACTCTGAAGATAACATAAATATGTTTTAGGCAGGAAGCTTCAAAACAGTCTCATCATGTTTCAGTAGGATGAGATGTCCACGGGATAATTTGCTGCTGGCCCTGTTTGCTCGTTGGATGCCTGGGCAGTTAGAAATAGCCGCGGGGAAGGCAGAGGCTCCAGTGGTCTTTACGGACGCTCGAGCACAATCGAGTTTCTGAAAGGCCCTAATAACCCACTCACACGGGCATCCCGCGATCCATGCACGAACCCTGCAGTCAGGAATCAGAATGAGGATTGGCAATCCTGCCCACGCAAGAAAGATCGGAGCCCTTCCGGGACATGGGCCAGTGTGTGGAGAGAATTTAGAAGAGCTCAAATTGCTTTCAAAAATGACAACTGCCCACAAAGGGCATGCACACCACAGTGCCTGGTACCCGATCTCCTCTCAGTGGCAAAAGCGGTGAACACGAAGCAGTTTAGAGAAGCTGGTTATGACATCTTCTCAGGCCTCAGAAGAAAAAAAATGGAATTATGATGAAATGGTCTAAAAATCTTCCTACACCTATTTAAGAGTTGCAGTCTCTATTCCAGCTACTCAAGTATTGTATAAAATGGACCCATTTGTATAACTGCCAATTTCAAACAACTGTCCTGGCAGAAAACCATTCTACATAAGGAAGCTGGTTCACTCATTTTTTAAGTGTACTTTCAGTGGACAGCAGCTGCCACATGATGGGGTGATGGGTGCCTGAGCCACTGCATCCCATAGAACAGTTGACCAGCCATGGCTCCAGGAAGCAGGTGGGGGAGCTGGGCTGCAGTTATAAAGGCCACTAGATGACACTATTTCCATACTAAGGAGACAAGATGGGCAGTCCAGGTCCGTGGACCACCGGGGACAAAAATCTCTACAATATTCTTACAAAAAAATGGGCGGATTGGACAGGCGCCGTGGCTCACGCCTGTGATCCTAGCACTCTGAAAGGCCGAGGTGGGCAGATCGCCTGAGGTCAGGAGTTTTAGACCAGCCTGGCCAACATGGTGAAACCCCATCTCTAATAAAAATACAAAAATTAGACAGGCGCGGTGGTGGACACCTATAATCCCAGCTACTCGGTAGCCTGAGGAAGGGGAATCGCTTGAACCCGGGAGGCGGAGCTTGCAGTGAGCTGACGTCACATCACTGCACTCCAGCCTGTGTGACAGAGCAAGACTCCATCTCAAAAAAAAAAAAAAAAAAAGGGGGTGGATAATGGACAGATGGATGAATGAAGAGATGGAATGAAGTATAAACAAAATTTTTACATTTTGTTAGTACCCAACTGATGACAAGGATTACAATGTTTTGTGCAAATGCCACATTAGTTTACGAGGAAGCCTTAGCATATGAAAGCTGATTTGGGTGTGCTGTTTTCCCTGCTTCTTACCACTCTTCACAGGTTCTGCTCAAAGCTACTTCACTAGGTGAGTCCAGCTGCTGGTTTCCTTCCTAGCTAGTGCACCAGTTCTGAGGGGGATCAAATGCATTTCTCTCTGTTGTGGTGTGTATGTACGTGTATGCGTACATGTCCATATATACGTATATATATATACATATATATACACACATATATACATATATATATACGTATATATATACATATATATACGTATATACACATATATATACATATATACATATATATACATATATATATGTTTTAGCATTCTTTGAAAAATCAGCAAATACAATCATTTCTTAAACTGCCTTGAGTGTACATTTTCCAATGACACAATCCTTGTGTCTTTGTGATTCAACTCTCCCCCATTTTCTTCTCTGCGGATGAATTGGGATCACGGTCCTTGAAGGACCTTATCTGAGCGGGTCAGCGACAAGCCCCCCAACGATTGGCTCCTCGTCGGTGTCTTCCTGGGACCTGGGAGTGCATCCCCAGCTGGAAAAATCTATCTGAAATAGGCTAAGAAAACCATCACCTCGCAGAACTCAAAATTGCTAGCCATATGTATTTTAACTGAATTCCTTAGATATGAGGAATCTTAAAAATCATAAACAAATAGGCATATCTCTTTTTTCCCTAGACCAAAAGTAACAAAACAACAACAGAAAACCAGGGGGGGCGCGGTGGCTCACGCCTGTAATCCCGGCACTTTGGGAGGCCAAGGTGAGTGGATCAGGAGGTCAGGAGATCAAGACCATCCTGGCTAACACGGTGAAACCCCGTCCCCAGTAAAAATACAAAAAATTATCCAGGTGTGGTGGCGGGTGCCTGTAGTCCCAGCTACTCAGGAGGATGAGGCAAGAGAATGGCGTGAACCTGGGAGGCAGAGCTTGCAGTGAGCCGAGATCGCGCCACTGCACGCCAGCCTGGGCAACAGAGGGAGACTCCGTTTCAAACAAACAAAACAAACAACAACAAAAAATAAAAAATCTTTCAGATTAAGCTACTCAGTTAAAAATGTAAAGCTGGAAATGCTCTTCCATCGACAATTTCTAATCGAAGCATCCTTATTCTGTAGTAATTTTCACTGTGTCTTGTCATAACGGAAACATCAAATATTTTATGTAATGATTAACAAAAAATCATAATATATGTTAATAACTAAAATTATGTAAAAATAGGTATTTTTCACTCAGGATCAGAAATATTTGAACTATTTAATTCAATGATTCCAAGTTATAAAAACCTTAAATGACTTTCTTTTTGAAAATGTCACTTTGATTTTCATACGAACTAAATTTTATTTCTCATTACAGTGTTAAGTCCAAAATGTTGAATTAACATTAATTTATTGGCCTATTATGATGAATATGCAACAGATACAAGCAGCTATAACCATTCCTTTATAGCTTTTAATTATGTACACAAAAATGATAAAATAGTTATACATGTATTATATTTGTGTGTGTATACATATATACACACATATGTGTGTGTGTATACATATATATATATATATATATATATGAAGGGCCTTATGTATTCATATGTGTGCTTCTATCATATATGAGCCACTTGCAAAGTTTATAATTTAAAACAACCTATTCCAGATTAATAATTTAATAATCTTTGTTCTTTCTTCACCAAAGCCTATTCGATACTTTCTTGTCTAAAGTGCCTCAAGGTTTAGATGTCCACAGTAGCTGTGCATGAGCATTTTGAATACACGGTGGTCAGAAAAGACATGAGAATAGCCAGAATTAAAATGAGAAAAATCCAGAATTGAAATGAGAACAATCAACATAAAACAGATTAATCAACACCGCATTTGAACCCAAATTACACACCCGTCATCTCACACATATTCTGCTTTCTCACGTTCAAAGACTGATGTACATGGCAAAGTCATCTCGAGGAATTCATTATATTTTTATTACAAGAAGAAAAGTGCATTTGGAGAATTTCAGCTTCTAAGAATTATTTGTATATGGCAGAATTTACCCTTTTAATTAGAATCGTACACTTATTCCCTATTTAAAAATGCAAAATAAGAAAAATAAATGAGGTTTATGAGGTTTTAAAAAGTGGGCTAAATTAAGATCCATCCTAAATATATTTTTTAAGTTGGAGATTTTAGGATTTATGAGTAACACATTGAGTCAGACTCTAAATATTCCTTTATTCAGACAGAAGATACTGAAGAAGCAGATCAGTGTTTAGTCAGAAACCAGTCAAACAAGAACATCCGGCCAGGGTCCTGCTTGCTGGGTGGTTTCTGCGTAAGCCTCAACACGGGCAGAACATTTTCTAAAATCTTCATGTCTGGATTAAAATAAAGAGGATTAGAAAAATGAAAATTCCATTGTTAGAGTAAAGCTTCATACATCAAACACATGAGTTTGAAAATTAAGTGCATTACATTTTTAAGTGCTTTCTTGGTGTGTCTGGAAAATGTAGAATGAGTTCTTGAAAATGAATGAGAGTAAAAAATGTTTCTTTGTTTCTTTTAGTTTTTTTTAACTGAAAAAAGTTTAATTTTTGAGAGGGGGAGAAAGATGACTACTAGTATGCATCAGCAGAATAAAGTTTAAAGGAAGCATACAGTTGTTGAGCAAAATCTTGTGCCCTAAGGATGAATGACAGTGATAGCAAATACCTGTGGCCTGCTGTGGGCTACGTAAAGGCTTCTACAACTCCATTGTTTTCAATCAAGGCAAGGCCGGGCACGGTGGCTCATGCCTGTAATCCCAGGAGTTTGGGAGGCTGAGGTGGGCATCGCTTGAGCCCAGGAGTTTAAGACCAGCCTGCGCAACACAGCAAAACCCCGTGTCTACAAAAAATATAAAAATTAGCCAGGTGTGGTGGCACGCACCTGTAGTCCCAGCTACTATGGAGGCTGAGGTGGGAGGATGGCTTGAACTTCAGGAGATTGAGGCTGCAGTGAGCCCTGTTCACACCACTGCACTCTGGCCTGGGCAACAGAGCAAGACCCTACCTCCTAAAAAATAAAATAAAATAATAGTTGAAGGCAAGATTGTGTGGATGGCACAAGAAGAGTTGGAGAAGTCGAGAGAGATCTTCTGTCTGCTGAGGGCAGGATGCATGAGCAGGGCACCTCCTGGTAACGGAGGAGAGGCAGAGCTATGAGACCCCTGGGGAGGACCCCTGAATGCGGGGCGGAGGATGGAGAGGCAGTTACACTCTAAGGGCTAGCTGAGAGCTTAAACATCATGCACTCGTGTGATGCTTTCTTTCTAAGAGCCTCCTTCATGTAAATCATCTTTGTTGTTGGTTCCCGCACTCACACGTTTTCCTTTCTACATTTCCCTTTGTAATTTTAGTGGAAAGCCACAGTTGGAAAAGTAATGCAATCTCCAATGGTCATCACCAATCTCCAGGCCAACTTTAAAAACACAGGGGAGGCCAGGCGCGGTGGCTCACGCCTGTAATCCCAGCACTTTGGGAGGCCGAGGCGGGCGGATCACGAGGTCAGGAGATCGAGACCATCCTGGCTAACACTGTGAAACCCCGTCTCTACTAAAAATACAGAAAATTAGCCGGGCGTGGTGGCGGGCGCCTGTAGTCCCAGCTACTCGGGAGGCTGAGGCAGGAGAATGGCGTGAACCCGGGAGGCGGAGCTTGCAGTGAGCCGAGATCGCGCCACTGCAGTCCAGCCTGGGCGACAGAGCGAGACTCTGTCTCAAAACAACAACAAAAAACCCCACAAAAAACCAAAACAACAACAACAACAACAACAACATCAAAAAACACGGGGGGGGGGCGGGGAGGAGACTGTTACGCCATGCTCTGACGAGAAGTCTGCCATCCTCCAACTTTTCTTCTGTTTTAGATTGTTTGGTTGGCTGGTTGGTTTTTGTGTGGCTATGAAGATTTTTTTTTAATACTCAGTAATACTCGGTAATGTTACTGTAATATCTTCAGGGGTAGATGTTTTTGTAAAACACCTTTTAAAAACACTTTGTAAAATTTTAATATGAGGACGTATTTCCTTTCTCCGTATCTGAGTAATTGCCATGAAGTATACCTTGGAATATTACATTTTTCCCAAATCTTCCATTAATTTTTATGATATACATATAGGATTTTCTTGTTCTATTATTTCTATGCCTTTAGATCATTTCAATATTTTCCATATTTTTTCTCGACTGTATTTTTTTCTGCTCTATTTAATGAATCACTGGGCTTTATTTGGCTTTTTTGGTTCCTACTTCAAACCGTCCATTGAGCTATTAACTTCAATGATTGTATTTCTCATTCCAAAAGTCATTTTTCTAATAATTTTAGACAATTTTGATTTTGCTTTACTGTTGTTTTTTTTTTAATCGTTTTGAACATTTGAAGATGTTTATTTTGGTTTCTCACTCATAATTGCTTTATTTGGGAGGATAGTTATTTTCTGGTGTTCCTCACACTGTTTGTAACTTGTGTCATGGGGAATCTGTGTCAGGCTCACCTGCTATGCCCCCACAACCTCTGGAAGCTGTGAGGGAATGGCTCCAGGGAAGGTTTCAGCAGCGCAGCATGTGCGTGGGAGAAATCAGGGCCCCCAGTGTCAATAGTTGTTTCTTTTTCCACTCATGGCCCTGCCCATTTGACAGGCTGTCCTATTTTTTTAAGACTTAGTAGGAGAGATTCTTCTTGCTTTTGTCCTCTGTATTTCCTACTCACTTCACAGACGATGAGGAGAACATTATAATTTTTGTTTTCTTGCAGGTAATTCAGTTCCAACCCCTTCAGTGACAGCAGAGAGACCCAGGCCACCTTCCTTGAGGATTTCGGAGCTGCAGCCCACAGCCAGGGCCAGAGTGGACTCAGCTCTCCAACCCACGGTGATATTACAATTCTTGTTGTGTTCCTAGCTGTGGGCTTGTTCACCTCGGGATGGCAAGGGCGTGGCACAAACACCCCCACATTTCCATTCTGTGTTACGAAGTCCGCGTAACTTTTCAATGTGTGTGACAGACAGGTGAACAAATGGCTTCTCATTGTCTTCATCTGCCATTTAAAAGGGGTACTCCCTCTTAATCTGAGGCTGTAATCATTTATTCTGATTCTGATTCTACATCGATGCCGATGTCTTGTCCAGGGATTGCCCTGCGTGTGTGGTGAACCTGGGGGTAGGTCTCTGTTACTGCGTAGCCTGCGCCCAAGAGGACTTCCCTCTGTCCTGCTGTCTGTCTCGGGGTTTTTGGCGGCTGGTCAACCTTGGACCATCCTCTGTGTCATCATTTTAGTCCTTCCCATGTAGGTCATCTGATGTAACATTGTCCCGTTTGCATTTGAAATTGATGCATTTAAATTTATTTGGAGTAAATCGCTGATACAATTCCACCAGAAACCAACTGCTATAGCTAAAATAGTATTTGCAAGCACAATGACACCCTCTCAGTAGCTTAAAAGCATAACTGTTAGTCAGGCTGATAAATAATTAGCATGCTTTGGCTCTGCCTCATATAATCAGTTCTTAAAATAAGATTTCTCTGTGTTAACACAGGACATCATAGTTGAAAGTTCTAGCCCCAAAAGTCCATCTTCCGATTTTGTAGAAAATTTCTTGTTTAAAATATGTACAGAACAGCAAAAATGGTTAACTTTCTGCCAATTTTATACAATTCCCAATGTGATTTATTTTCAAGCAAAAGATCATTTCTGATCCACAAGAAATAATCAACACCTAAGAAAATTTAATGAAATACATTATTTTCTGTCATGATGTGATAATTGACAAATTAACTGGTATTACCACTGAAATCATTTTCTTCATGTCGTTTATACCTATTTTTGTGGCTGATACTTGTTGAGACTTGACAATTTATAAGTCAGATTAAAAATCTCAGGAATTAGCTGACAGAAATTCCATTTGAGTTTAAAATAGTTCCCGCTGAGCTTATTATATATTATCGTGGCAGTAAAGATTATGAAGTCAGGTCCCAAACTTATTTGACCTACAAAATGGTTTATACCATCATGTGAATTATAAATAATAGAGTTTGGGGGAAAAGCCTCTATAAATCAAAGGGTGGAATAGGTTTTAATAAAATCACATTGACATGTACAGTACTGTGAGAGAAAAAATGTTTTTTACAGAGACTAATATATCCTTGAGAAAATAACTTTACATGCTGCATCTTGTTACTAGTTCACAGAGAGGTATAGAGCCAGAGCTACATCTAGAGAGATAGGAATATATAGAGAGAAACCGTGAGAAAGACAGAGGAAAGACAGAGAGAGAGAGGAGAGACCAAACAGAAATAGAGAAAGGGGGAAAGGCAGGAGAGAAGGAGAGGTAGGCAGAGACAGTGGGGGGAAGAGAAAGAGAACAGCAGAAAGCAAGAGAAACAGGGAAGGTGGAGAATTAGAGAAGGAGAGAAACAGAGACACAGAGGCAGAGAAAGGGAGAGAGGGTGGGAGAGACACAAAGTGGCTTCGTTTTCATTCAGAAACTAGGACTCCCTGGGTAGCCCAGGGGCCTTCTCCCTTCCTCACTGTACACACGGACTCCCGGTGCCTGCGTGCCCTGGCTCTGTGCAGCTTTGTGTTTCTCTTGCTCATGGTAAGTGGCATCAGGTTGAACGCTGGTCTCAGCCTTTGCTGGAGCAAGACCTCTGTCAAAGCAGGTAGGTAGCTGTGCCTGAATCCCAGTCTTGTTTATTTCCAAGTCTGCTCCTTCGGGCTTTAAAATATCTTGTCCCCTTCCCTATATCTCTATGAATATACAATCTCTTGCCTTTCCATGTCTCCATTTTGCTCCTCAACCTCTCCCTTTTTCCTTTCCACTTTCCTAGTCCCCCCAGCACATCACCCGAGCCCTATTTACATGTCCTCTGGGTGGAACTGAGGGTGGCTCCCTTCTCCTGACGGAATGCTTTCAGGTGCAGTGATTTGTGGCAGTAACGGTCTCAGGGTTGGGCCTGGGGCCCTTGTTTACCCCTCCATGACAGTACGTAATGCCTGGCTCAGTGGCCTCGTAACCATGTAGCTTTCCTTGCGGTTGCTTGGTTGGAGTGGCCCGTGAAGGGACCCCAGGGGTGCTGAGTGTTTCTAACTCAGGTCTGTGGAGGGAACGCTTGTGTCCAACTGCACTGGACACCTAGACACGGAAAATGAGAAACTTGAACTCTCAGCTCAAAGCACAGTCAGACAGGAGTTTTTATGGAGGAGCCAAAGGGATTTCTTGTTTCTTTTAACTATAGAGTTTTTATACGGATAAAAAAAGACTCTAAATCTAATTGTGTTTTGCAAAATTGTGATGTACATTGAACCCCCGGGGTCTCGAGGATGTCATGTGCTAATTACAACACTGAGACGTAGTGGGCTACCAAGCTTTAGAATGGAGCTGTGGGGAAAATTCGGAAGATTTTTAGACATGTGTGTTCCGAATTCCCTCCCACGTCTCCCTTGCCAGTGAAGCTGCTCTCCATCTTCTCCTGAGGGAGACAAGCCTCCCTTGGCTGGAAGACTGCAGTCGTTTGGGTGAATGGTCAGGGAATTGAAGAAAAAAAAAGTGTAGAACTCACCCCAAAGAGAAACGTGAACAGATGACTTGCGGTGGGCGTTGTGGCTCATGTTGAATATTCGTCCGAGGACACCAGTGGTGGAGGAGCTCTCGAGTCAGGTGGACAAGGGAAATCATCTCTGGGTACTTCTTTGTCTCTTTGGGTTTAGTTTGTTTTGATTTGTTTTTGACTTTATCTTGTTCCCATAGTTAGGTTTTGCCGCCATAAAATGAACCAGGGAGCTGTCCAACATCCTACCATATAAAACAATCCACTCCTAAGTTGTACTTCAGTAACAAAACGAATCTCTCTTTAACGATGTCTCCTTCATCAACTTTCCAAAAATGTACGTGGTACTTTCAGTGATTGATTCAAATGTTCTATTCAATTTTGAGTCAACACTGGTAATATATATTCTGTGTACAAAATCAGCCTAATTGTCCAGGCTTCTGAATTAGAAGATATAATACTACAGTTGCATGCATTATTAGCCTATAATACTTCATCTCTTCTATATCTGTGGTTATATGATGTTTTCATCATTTCTAATTATATTTTCTGTTTTGGCATTACTGTGCTCAATACCTTTTTTGTTTCATTTTTACAAAGAACCAGGGTTTCTAGTTACTTATTATTTATGCTTTTTGTTTCTTGCTTTATTAATTTAAACTTTTTTCTTATTATTTTGTAGTTTGTGTTTCCATTTGGTTTATTCTGGTGAAGTTGTTCAAATATGATACAATGACAGGAAAAATTTCCTTTTTATTAAACTGCACAACCATTGATATCTAAGCATTATTTTAGTCAGTGGTACTCTGTTTTTCATTGAATTCTATGCAATTTACAATTGCATCTTTTGATGTAAGGATATCTTGGAGAGACTTTATTAAACCTCACAGATGCTAAGGTTGTTTTTTATTTTTATATTTGTATTTTTATTAGATTTTTTAAAAATGTAATCTCCAGCATTTCAAAATTACTTTGTACAGTACTTGAAAAAATGTTGGAACTTCTCCGTGGACATAAATATTGATTTTAGTTATGTATAGGCTATATCATTTTGCAGACATTTGTTAAACCACATGTGTTTATTATATATTTTTGTTTCTCTATATTCTCACTAATTTTTACTTTATTATGTCTGCTATATTCTAAAAGAGATGTATGATTATCATCTACCAAGATTATAAATTATAAAGTTCTCCCAAATTTAGAACCATCTTTGCTTTGTAAATTGAACAGCTATATTCTTTGGTCTAGAATGGTTAATGTTTGCTATACCCCCTTCATTATGCCATTTCATACCATATGAAATTTTATTTAATGTTTGTCTTCAACTTATTTCACGAATTCATGTTTTAATCTTAAATTTCACTTTGACGGATATTGGGTTTGTTCAACTTCTATCATTTAACTTTCAAACTTATTTTTATGGAACAAACAAAAAAGTAATATCCTTTAAGTATATCCTGTACAATATCTGAGATAGATATACTTATATAATATATGTCTCAGCATCTGAGATATATAATGCATGCCCATTATAGATACATAATACATATTTTTATATATTGGTTGGTGCAAAAGTGTGCGGTTTTTGCCATTCCTTTTAATGACAAAAACTGCAATTACTTTGCACCAACCTAATAAAAATATGTAATATATATTATTCTTTGGAAATTGAAAAACAACTTGTGTTCTGTAGTTTATCTGGCACCGCTAACTACTGCTAGTCTCATTCAGTTTTTCTCTTTTGTGTAACTTTTTTTACTCATGGAGATCGTATCAGTTATTGTTTAGCTTCAGAGGTGTTAACTTTTATCATAATATCCCTGTATGTGATGTGTGCGGTTTGTTTTATTTTTCTTTTTGTTTTGTGGTTGCTATTGTTTTGTTTTAATCATTGATCCTGAGAATTACTGAAGAAATCTGTTAATAAGAGGGCTAGCCATTGTTTTCTGGCTCCAAAACTCAAAGTGTGCCACACCCAGGGATCTGGAGAAGGAGCCTTGTGGAGACACTCACTTAGGTGTATGCACCCTCTCCCTCCCAGCCCATGAATCTCTGCGACTAAAGATTTCCCCAGACGCTCCCAGGTTCCTCCTGATCTGCAGCATTGTCGTCCCTGCCACTGACCAGGAAGCCCTCTGTGCTCCCATAGCCCCTTCAGAAACCTGTGACTTCCTGAGTCCTAAGTCTTCAGCAGAAACAGCAGCTGCCCCACGCCTTGAGCGGCAGCAGGACCCTTTCTGCCCTGATCTCCACTCAGCGCTGGAAGCCTGGTGAGTCTGGTGGTAAAAGGGATGGCAGCGGATTCCAAGGTGACCTGGGAGACTTCGGTCATTCCCAAGCCCCACCATCACTTGTGCTTAATTGCGGGAGACCAAAGGTGTGACATCCTTTCAGCTTCAGCTTTGTCAGTATGGAGGGACTAGACTCTCCATGTGGACCCATGTCAAGTCACTCGTGATCATCAACCTGCATATTGTTTTTTTTTCTTACTGTATCACTTAGAGTAGCATCAGGAAATGAAGGGTTCATTTGAAATTGGGTTGCTCAAGAAGAGTTAATTTTCAAAACGACTTGTACAGCAATCTTTTGTTTTTTTCTCATACTCTTCTGATCATCTCCCTACTTCAGTTGGGACAACACCTAAATGGGGTGGCCCCTCGACCTCCAAACGTGGATGCAGCACCACACAGGATAGCTGCTTTCGGTGCAAATGCCGGGCCAGAGAGCAGGTGTGTGGAATTAGCCGCGGACCCATGGTGCAAACTGGGAGAATGGGATACTAGTGAGATTTAGTCAGATACATTTCCCATCCTTTCCTCTCTTGGAGACCGAGGTGTGGTTCTCCTTGCATCCCCTCAGGATAATTCCTGAACACCAAGACAGCAGAGCTGGAAGAGGGACCTTCTACCTCTGTTTGGCTCTCTCACTCCCCAGTCCCTCTAACTCACAGCTGGGTGCTTCTCCCTCCCAGTTAAGCTGATTCCTTGACATTTTAGCCTTGGGCTGTGCCTTCTCCAGAACTTTGGCAGGAAAGGGACTATTTACAAAGGCATGGGTTAGGCTGTGGGAGATGTTCAAGAAATAATTCTGAGATTAGCAGCAGGAAGGCCATTCTCTCAAATCTCACTTACTCCACACCTGATAAGGGGGAGAGTTTGGGTTGAAGAAAACGCAAGTAGATGTTCCTATTGTCTGGCTGCAATGAGGAGAACAGTTACCTTTAATCCAGGGACGTGGCCATCCTGAGAGGGCCTGGCTGGGTGTTACGGGAAATAAATACCCTGGCCTCACTATGTTGCTTCCCTTTAGTTTCTTCCGCCAAACCGGGTCTCCTTGTTGAACAAACCCAACTGGAGCCAATGGCAAGGAGGATTGTTCTTGTTGTTGTTTTAATTTTGACCCAGATCACATTAGAAAAGAATAAAACCTATATCTAGCAGGGTAAATAGAACATAAGAGTCCGAGTTAAAAAAAATCAAGCAAAGCTTTAGTTTTCAGCCTCCCTTTTACACTCCTATGGATACCATAATCAATTAGCGGCAGCTCCCTGCAGGTCAAACCATCCCAATTGTTATCCCAACCTTACTATTCACTACAGTAACCAAGTCCACCTTCTCTCTTGTTAGTGAGCTCCAGCTCTGTGTGTCAGCCCTCTGGGGAGCCATCATGGCTGCCCCCACCTTCTGATACCATCACGCCCTGCTCCCGGTCCTCTGGGACCATCACACCTCCCCCCATCACCGCCCTCTGGTGCCATCATGCCAGCTCCTGTCCTGTCCTCTGGTGCCATCAGCTCCCCCCCCCCCCCGCCTTCTGGTGCCATCAGGCCACCCCCGCCCCTGCCACCCTCTGGGACCATCACGCCCGCCCCATCCTCTGGTGCATTGTCATGCTTATTGACATCCAGGACCTCATTTTGGTGGTGTCATTTCCACTCCTTTATCACTGGCCTTCAAAATCAGTTACTACTGTGCTCTTTAAGGATGTTGGAGTTCCCGTCATTCATGCACCTTAATGACCTGAGTGGTCCCCTGGACTGTCCTAGAGATGTAAGCAGAGGAGGCAGGTGGGAGCCATTCATGGTCGTTTATCCCAGCATTTCCATGCAAGCCTTTCAGTCCTTCTCTCTGCCTTATACCAGGGATGCTCGAGTATTGCACACATATTTGATACAGGTCACCAGTTAGACCCGAATTTATGCAACTACTAGACACTAAATTGGATCACCCTTCAGCTATGGAAGCTAATATATTTATTTCAGAAAATCTGACAAGATCAGTTAAATATTCCATACCTGTATGCCTTCTCTTGCACCCTGAGAATCCACACCTATCTCTATGTCTCTACTTCTGTTTTGACTTCCTAATCCCTCAGAAGAATGTCTCATATGAAAATTGAAGCTGTATCCATAATCCAGACAGCCAGGAATTTGGCGAAATGTGATTTTTTACATACATCAGAATCCTCTGACAGACAGAGCACACAGAAAGAAGAGGAGGGACAGAGAGTGAGCAGAAATATTGAGCACAGCCTCGGCTTCCAGAGCTCAGCCCTTCAGATAGGACACCCTCTCCGGAAATGGACACTCTGCCACTAGGAGAAATCTCACAGTTCAATGAGTTGGTGTTGCATAAACACCTGTTCAACGAGCAGGTGTTTTGCACGCTATCTTATAAACAGCAAGCAAAGATAATTTCCTACATATCTTATAAATCACATGCCACTATCTACACGTGCCCTTCTTATGCTGTAAATTTATATAATTAGTCACATGTTTATTAGCACAAGACATGTCTCAGGCTCTGAGTCAGGTATTTGAGAGTCAATGTTTACAAGATGTGTTTGAGCATCACCCTTACTGTGATTCTATTCTAGAGAAATCTGATAGGCAAATACACGTACACAACGGAGGACTGTGGTTTGTATTATTGTGTGTGGAATACAGCACATGATTGAGAAGGACGCAGGGCTCATAATTTAGATTAGAACGGTAAGAACAATTTGAAATGTTTAGGGCATGAAGTCTGAAAACAACATAATTTTCTGTTCCCAGGTTAAACAATTATGAGACTTGGAATAATTTTCTCTCCCTGAAGATGTAATTTCCTATTCCTGTGTTTAAAAACAACAGAAAAAAAAAAAAAAAAAACTGAGGCCAGGCAAAATTAAACATAGCTGCGTTCACCACAAAATATTTCATACAGAAAGATAAGAGTATGAAGGAAAAAAATAAAGAGCAAAAACCACCTAAAGCAGCTTAGATAGAGCTTGTTCAGCAAGATTTGATCTTGAAATGGTAGGAGGAATGGAAAGACAAAATCCAAATCGGAAGTTGCTCAGGTTTAGTTAATTAGTTAATTGATTTAATTAATTGGCTGTGATATTTGACTGTACGTTTACAGTGAAGATGGGAATAGCAACGTCTTTTATACTTCGCACATCAGCCTGTGTTGAATGCAATATGCTCTCACTGGGAAATGGCTGGATGGCCCTAGTGGGGATTCCATGAAGAGTTTCATTTTTCAAGTAGATTTGTCCCTGATGGTGCAAGTGGCATTTCCATTTTTAATTTTTCCCAGATTTCTAGCTTAAACAAGCTATGTTTATCATTGAGTTTTATCTGCCTGAATAGTAGCAGTGGTTTTTTCTTTTATTCGAGGACTTGGAATTCTGCAAAGACAGGCTTTCATGGCATAGACAAAAAACAAAAGTGATAACTGCTGTTCCTGAGTTCAACTTATTACAAAACAGCTGTATTTTTCGGCAAGTTTTAGTTGTGCAATTTAAAAATCACTTTAAGAATTACTTTAAACCACTTCAAAGCATTTTACCTCATTAAATTCTCCACTGATTTATTCCCAGGCTCACATTCTCTCTACTCACATCAGCCTGATGTCTTCAAGCCAGGATTTCTTGGGGTTTATCTCACCAGATGCAATCAACTCAAGTTCCCTCTGTGGCGCCTTCTCATTCCCTTATGCCAAGTCACACTAAAATACTTGAGAACAGTATCCATAAAACGTTCTGATATGATTTTCTTGTTCTAATTTACATACTGTGAATCTGTAAACACAAGACGGAGATTTGCATGTGTTGACATTGTTTGTGACTAAAGGGATCGTGGCCTCAGAACACACACATTACGTGGGTGACACGGACATTACTCATTTTTGTACATTTGGATGCTAATTGAATTGGGTGCTTGCCTCCAATAAGAATGGAACTTGTTGGCCTCACTGTTATAGATCTGGTTTTTCTGTATGGAGTTTTGTTGCACTTCAGGTCATTCCAACAGGTGGTGACGATGCTCCGTACGTATGCGCAGATGAGGGAGACAGACAAGCTAAAGATACTGGCTTTGTCTATACAAAAATTGTGATAATGTAAAATACAGACAGGAATAATCCATTGCTCTCTCTAAGACTTAGAGAAATTGACTGAGAACAGTTTCCACAACATTCATTATGCCTACCAGGCATTGCATGTACACATTTTGTGATAAGGGCTTTTTTAGCTTTATGCAAACCAACATCCTTCAGTCACGAGTCCTTAATGTGTGTGCCTGACGGGAGGTGCCTTTCAGTGGTTCCACCTTGTCCACCAGGTCTCAGGGCAACAGACGAGATTCCTCCTCACCTGGCCTCTGCCTGACCAGTCTCCTGTCCTGCCGCACCCACTTCGTTCTTCAGGGTCATGGAACCGTTCACACGATCACTTGGCTCGGGCTGTTCCATCTCTGAACGTTCTAGCCTTAGTCTCATCTCAGGTCAAGAAGGTGCACCGCCCTGAGGTCGGACTCTTCTGCTGCATTGTGCAGACCTGGCCTAGTGTTTTCTAACGTCAGGCCCCCCCTCCCCCGCCCCCAGGTGGCTGGGGCTTCTGTTTTCTCTTTAGTCTGCAAGTTATTGAAAAACTGAGTCTATTTATTTCTTCATTTCTGTATATTCAGTCATATAGTAGGAGCTCAGAAAGGTTTCTTTTTTTTTTTTTTTATTTTAACTCCATTCTATTGAACTGAAAAGATAGGTACCAAATCCAAGAAATGCCAGGCTATTCTCTCTGATTACGTCTTTCTGGTTGAGCACACTGAATCTACGTGGGTTTGGGGAGGGGTGTGGAGCGCCCAAGGATGACACACACTGACCTCCCGGCTCACAGACCACATGCATAGCGTCATTACATGGAGCGCCTGTTACTGGCTGTGTTATATTAAAAACATCCAAGAAACAATATGATGAGGCAGTACTAGAGGCAGGGAGAGAATGCCCTGTCAAAGGGTCTGTAATGTGTAAAGTGAGTAAAACTCTATGAAAACCCAGGTCTGTGAGACTCAAAATTTCCACCAAGACCTTTATGCTCTACAACAGGGGCATTGCCACTTTGGAAATATTTGCTTTATTCTCAATCCCCATGAGATATTTAGTATTAAAAATTAGGAAGAGGCCAGGCGAGATGGCTCATGCCTGTAATGCCAGAACTTTGGGAGACCAAGACTGGCTGATCACCTGAGGTCAGGAGTTCGAGGCCACTCTGTTCACCATGGCAAAACCCCATCTCTACTAAAAATACAAAAATTTTCTGGGCATGGTGGCAGGCACCTGTAATCCCAGCTACTCTGGAGGCTGAGCCAGGAAAATTGCTTGAACCCAGGAGGCAGAGGTTGCAGTGAGCTCCAAGCTGGGCGACAGAGGGAGATTCCGTCTAAAAAAAGAAAAAAAAAAAGGAAAAAAACAATTAGGAAGACTTTTGAGAAGTATCTGTTGATATCCTTTGCCCACTTTTTGATGGGGTTGTTTGTTTTTTTCTTGTAAATTTGTTTAAGTTCCTGTAGATAGGTAGATTGTGAAAATTTTCTCCCATTCTGTAGGTTGCCTGTTCACTCTGATGCTAATTTCTTTTGCTGTGTAGAAGCTCGTTAGTTTAATTAGATCCCACTTGTCAATTTTGGCTTTTGTTGCAATTGCTTTTGCTGTTTTAAGTCTTAAAGTCTTTGCCCATGCCTATATCCTGAATGGTATTGCCTAGGTTTTCTTCTAGGGTTTTTATGGTTTTTGGTTTTACATTTAAGTTTTCAATCCAACTTGAGGTAATTTTTGTATATATTTATGTGGACAACAAACATATGAAAAAAAGCTCATCATCACCAATCATCAGAGAAATGCAAATCAAATCCACAATGAGTTACCATCTCACTCCAGTCCGAATGGCTATGATTAAAAAGTCAGGAAACAATAGATGCCGGCGAGGCTGTGGAGAAATAGGGAAGCTTACGCTGTTGGTGGGAGTGTAAATTAGTTCAACCATTGTGGAAGACAGTGTGGTGATTCCTCAAGGATCTAGAACCAGAAATACCATTTGACCTAGCAATCCCATTAGTGGATATAGATCCAAAGGATTATAAATCATTCTCCTATAAAGACACATGAACAGGTATGCTTATTGCAGCGCTATTTACAATAGCAAAGACTTGGAACCAACCCAAATGCCCATCAATAATCAACTGGATAAAGAAAATGTGGCACATATACACCATGGAATACTATGCAGCCATAAAAAAGAATGAGATTATGTCCTGTGCAGGGACATGAATGAAGCTGGAAGCCATCATTCTCAGCAAACTAACATGGAATACAAAACCAAACACCGATTGTTCTCACTTGTAAGTGGGAGTTGAACAATGAGAACACATGGACACAGGGAGGGCAACAACACACACTAGGACCTGTTGGCGGTGGGGGACAAGGGGAGGGAGAGCATTAGGACAAATACCTAATGCATGTGGGGCTTAAAACCCAGATGATGGGTTAGTAGGTGCAGCAAACCACCATGGCACATGTGTACCTATGTAACAAGCCTGCATATTCTGCACATGTATCTCGGAACTTAAAATAAAATAAAAAATAAATAAATAATAAATAAATACAAAAAATTTAGGAAGACCAAGAAAATGTCAAAATCACTGTCTTGAATTCCTCCCTTGCTTGCAGATTGTTTTTACTATACCTGCAAAATATCTCCCAGCTGTGAGCTGTCACAAAAGATGCATTCAAAGACATGCTCAGTGGGCTGGTAAGGACCCAGGAAGGGCTGTCCCACTGGGAGCTCCCAGCATCAGCATCCTCTCCTGAATTTTCTGTGACATCCATCGGGGTGTGCAAGACTTCTAAAGGCAGAGTCTCGCTAAAGTGACTAACGTAATTGAATGCATTTCATTTATATATTGACTCCTCATTTGATGAAAAATATAAATTTTAGTTATTACAAATATTACATAAAAGAAAAAATACGTTTTTTAAAAGGATGAAATTATAAAGTATAAAAGAAGCATAGAATGCAATGTATTCATGCATTTGTAAGCAAGGATATGAGTGTAAGTGTCATGAAAGATTTTTGTCAGACTATTTCTACCCTACTTATACTAATACTTCTGAAATAATGTCTGATAGAAAGAAATGTCTAGCAAAAGTGATTTCTTAACGTGAATTTTAAAGCATACTTTGCACATTTTGGATGCTAAGTGTTTTTGAACATTACGTAAAACCAAGAATAATTTAACGTATTCTGGCTTACCTTTCCATCTTGTATTCAATCTTACAGGATTACTCATTGCAAAACAGTATAAAGAAGGATATATTTTATATTAAAATATTTATCTTAAATCCTGGATCTGTCTGTTAAAAGTGAGCTAATCCATTTTGCTATTCCTTTTAGCCAGTGGGAGACAGAGGAAGAGGGAAGGATTCAATAAACCCACAATCTGAGAAGGACCGAGATGAATTCTGTGAGAATTTCTTATTTGCTGGGCTCCTTTGGATTACTCTAATATGTTATCTCAATTAAACCATATTGCAACACCATTAAGTAAATACAGTTAATAGTTATTTTGATGGTTAAGACCATCAGATTCCAGAATGGTTATAAACCTTGCTCAAATACTATACTAGCCTGGAGTCTGAAGCTCATAGTGTTAACCACTACTTTATATTACAAACCAGTTTTGCCCTATGAATTTTACCTCAAGAAATGAAACATATCGGGTGCATCTTTAACTGAAAAATCCAGATGGAAATATTAAAATAAATGACCAGTAACAGCAGTTATACATGTGTACTGGTTCCAGTATAGACATCTATTTCCTCTATAGTTGAATTGGATGTGAATGATAGGAAAAAGGCTTGGTGCCTTTGTAACCTGCCCCCTTTTCTCCATTGCTTTTGAGCTCAGCTGCCACTGGTCCTTATGCGTTTGCAGTTCCCACAGGCAGAAAGCCTTGTACGATGCGGATCTAGACTGGGCGCGGTGGCTCACACCTGTAATCGCACCACTTTGGGAGGCTGAGGCGGGAGGGTCATGAGGTCAGGAGTTGGAGACCAGCCTTGCCAACATGGTGAGACCCCGTCTCTACTAAAAATACAAAAATTAGCCAGGCATGGTGGCGGACACCTGTAATCCCAGCTACTCGGGAGTCTGAGGCAGGAGAATCACTTGAAACCGGGAGGCAGAGGTTGCAGTGAGCCAAGATCGTGCCACTGCACTCCAGCCTGGCCAACAACAAGAGGGAAACTCCGTCTCAAAAAAAAAGTTGCAGATCTGACTCTCTGCTCTGATCCAGTTCCCCTGCCAAGTGCCTTAGTCCTCCTCCTAATCCAGAATCACCCCAGCTCACCTCAGGCAGTGGCTGCCTCTCTCCTTCCCTCTCAAGCCATAGCATCTTCAGTGGTCGCTGCCATTGACCCGCCTGCCTTGATTGGAGTCATCAAAATCGATTCCCCTGGAGATGCCATTGTGGATGACATCATCTTCCACTTGGAGTCCTCGGTGCCCAGTGCAGTGGCTGGATCACAAGCTCTCACTAAAAATATGTGTTTAACTGGGCAAAAAAAAAAAAAAAAAAAAAAAAAAAATTTTCATCCTGAGATTTTTGGGAATCTGGAAAAACAGGTTCTATTTCTGATTTTTTTCACAACTTTTTATATGAATTTAAAAGAGCAAGTTCATTTAAATAAAATGAATTCTTTGTGTTTTAATTTTTTTGGAGGGGGGGAGAGTCTCACTCTATCACCCAGGCTGTAGTGCAATGGCATGATCTCGACTCACTGCAACCTCCACCTCCCAGGTTCAAGCAATTCTCCTGCATCAGCCTCCTGAGTAGCTGGGACTACAGGAGCCAGCCACTACACCCAGCTAATTTTTGTATTTTTAGTAGAGATGGGGTTTCACCATGTTGGCCAGGCTGGTCTCGAACTCCTGAGCTCAGGTGATCCACCCGCCTTGGCCTCCCAAACTGCTGGGATTACAGGTGTGAGCTACCACACCCACCCTGTGTTTTAATTTTTATCAGACTAGTACATATCTAATATTAAGAACTTAACTAGTGGTGAAATTTATTTATCATTTTGAGAAATAAAACGGTTGTTTTTCTGTTACTTCTCACACTCCAGCTCATTAGACACTAGACACAATGGCTGTGAACTCTGTCACCTGAGTCTTCCCGTGGTAACCTTCAGATTTATTAAACAAAACCTTCACACTGTCCTTCAGAGACTTATCCATTTGGGGCATAGGGAACTGCTTTTTAATGACAGCGGCAGATCAACTCTTCCTTGGGCCTGTTTCCTTCCTCACCACCCCCCACTACAATTATACCACCCTCTTAGTCAAATTACAATCTTTGTGTGGAGTCTGGTGTTTTAAAATCGCATTTTCTTTTCTGCAGAGTTGTGGGTTTTTTGCATTAACGATGACATTTTACATGCATATTTTTCTATATGTATCTACATTGTATTCTGGGTATTCCACGATTTTATCTATCATATTTCCATTCTTCCAAATCATCTTCCGAGAGGCAGCCTTCCTCCTGGGCTCCCCGATTCTTGTCCCAACAGCCAATGGTTACTTTCAGGCCTGTGGCCCAGACAGCACCATGAGGTCCAACCCAATATTCCTGGAAACAATGTCTCTCTCTTTCTTGGGTGATATTTTTGTTTGGAAAGAGCACATCTTCCAGAATCCTGTAAGGACCTCTACGCTGCCCAGAAGTTTTCCTGGAAAACCCTATTCATTTCTGTATTCAAGGGTGTGAACAGATCAAGTTCTACAGCTCCAGGACAGTGAAGGGCCATCCTTGGGAAAGTGAATGCAGAGCTTACCAGACGGCACAATTGCTAACACCGATGAAGGTAATCGGCCCGGTTCCGGAAGTCCTCTCCCTGCGAACACTCCCCCTGCTCCATCCCTGAGTGTCACACAGAAGACGCCGCTCTGGAGGCAGATGCTGGGGGCTGCAGCCATTGTGGGTGGGGCTGATCTCGGGGAAAGGGGACCCAGATGTCAGAGGAAGGCCCATAGCGTAGCCTGGTATGTAGCACTGTCTAAGATATAGAGCTTGAGTGTGATGCTGAACAAGGCACACCGCCTTAGACAGTTTCTTCACCATTGAAACCAATGGACCTGCCCCCAGAGAGCTGCAGGATGGATGGACAGGAAGATACGTAAAGCTCCCTGTACCCGCTGCAGAAAACAGGCAGGTGCCTTCAGGCATTGAGACTCACTCGAATGTAATTTCAACGAAGGAAAATGTTGTTTTTCAGTAGCTACATTGCCAGCACTGACAGCAAAGTCTAGACCGTATTTTTTGTTGTTGTTGAATGAATGGATTTTTCATTCTCCTTCTCTGCTTCTTTCCTCATAGATAATTACATTAGAGGATTCTAATGGTGATCTTTTCGTTTTTTCTTTATTCTATGATGCAAGTTTGTTTTTTTGTTTTTTTTGAGGTGGAGTCTCCCTGTGTCGCCCAGGCTGGAGTGCAGTGGCGCCATCTCAGCTCACTGCAACCTCTGCCTCCTGGGTTCAAGCCGTTCTCCTGCCTCAGCCTCCCAAGTAGCTGGGACTACAGGTGCACACCACCATGCCCGGCTAATTTTTGTATTTTTAATATAGGCGGTGTTTCGCCACATTGGTCAGGCTGGTCTTAAACTCCTGACCTTGTGATACGCCTGCCTCAGCCTCCCAAAGTGCTGAGAATACAGGTGTGAGCCATCACGCCCGGCCGATGCAAGCTTTTATATGTTCTTGAGAAAATTATTACAGGGTGTTTTTTCTCATATTCTTTAATATTTTTCAGAACAAATGCTCATTTGCTTTTTATTTATTTAAATTTGAGCACCATGCAATTTTTACTAAGCTGAATAGCTAGGCTAACTACTATGATCTTTTTAATTAAAGAAAAGAAAAACAGGGTCACAGGTTATGCAAAAAAAGAAAAAAGCATTCGCAGAATATAAAAATCTGACCCCCCAAAAAACAAAGCAAAACAAAACATCACTGATCTAAACATATTTGAAAGTTACTTTAGAAGTTAAAATAATTTTTTAACTCTCTTCACTGAAATATCTCTTTGGCTGAGTAGTTTTGTAGTTGTGATATGAACATAAGACAGGTAATAAAGATAAATTACTAAAGGAAGAAATTACATAAGCTTAGACTTGACTAAAGTCATAATCTATTCTCATCACTTGTTTAATCCTTAAACATATGAAACTCGAACTTAGTCACTTGCTTTAAATTCTGTGGTCAGAAAAAATGATTTGTCACTCCAAGGTGTTGAAAATTAACTATGCATCTCTCTGATATTTAATCTATCAGGACTACCAATGATTAATATTTAATCTTCTATCCCCTATTAATAGTTATGAGGAATACTGCACATTTAAGGGAAGAAAAGGAATCAAAGCTGTGCCTCCTGTTGCATACTGAATACAGCTGTTCTGCAGAGACACAGAGTGCAGAAGCAGGTCGTAAAACTGCTAATTAAAAGTACCAAGTGCGCTAGTAACCTACGGAACTCTCCTAGAAAGAAGGAAAACTTTTAGGGTAAAATAACTTAATTGACTCCCGAGGGAATGAATTGCAAAAGGCCAACCAGCCACACAAACCTGTAGGGGTCTGGCAGAGACATCTTTGAAGAAAGTTGGTTGACTAGGAGGTTCTGCATAATACCTTGTGAATGTGGCTACTAATTAGTTTAAAGCCTATCCATGACTGAAATGGATTAACCTTTCTCACAGCCACGTATGAAGTGTGCAGGCTGCAAGTCCAGGGAGAGCATGCTTGTGGTAGAAACGCTGGGCAAAAGACTGCTCTCAGCCATGGGCAATCACTAAGACTAAGCAATGGTGCAGGCAAAGCTTCTAAAACTAATGTGTTTTCTATTGCAACTCGGAATATTTGGCTATACCACTTCCATGCATATTCTATTATTTATTCTGTTTTGTTTAATCGCTGTGGCTGGAGAAGAAGTGATCTCACGGGAAAGTCATTGCGCGATTCAGAAATCCTTACTATCCTCTGTGGATGGGAATGTAAGTTAGTATAGCTACTATGGAAAATAGGATGGAGGTTTCTGAAAAACTAAAGATAGAACTACGGTATGATCCAGCAATCCCACTACTGGGTATTTACCCAAAGGAAAAGAAATCATGATATCAAAGGGACACCTGCACTCCCTTGTTAATTGCAGCACTATTCACAACAGCTAAGACATGAAATCAGCCTAAGCATCCATCAGTGGATGGATGCATAAAGAAAATGTGGTACATATACCAATTAAATACTATTCAGCCATAGCAAACAATGAAGTAATGTGTTTTGCAGCAACATATATGGAACTGGAGGTCATTAGGTTAAGTGAAATAAACCAGGCACGGAAAGACAAATATCACATGTTCTCACTCATATGTGGGAGCATAAAACGTTGATCTCAGGGAGCTAGAGAGTAGAATGATAGAGACCTGAGGCTAGAAAGGATGTGTAGATTGGGGAGGAGGAATGACGAGGTCGGTTAATGGATAGAAACATAGACTTGATAGAAGGGATACATTTTGATATTCCATAGCCCAGCAGGTTTACTCTATTGTATATTTCACAACAACTATAAGATTTGAAACATTCCCAACACAAAGAAATGATAAACATTTGAGGTGATGGATATGCTAACTACCCTACTTTGATCATAACACGTTCTGTGCACCTATCAAAATATCACATGTACCAATAAATATGTGCAAATAGTATGTATCAATTTAAAAATCTTGGCTATAACATGATTAAGGAATTTATGGAAAGTCAGAGCATAAGCAGATTAAATCTAAAAGGCAGTCTTGGCTGGGCTTGGTGGCTCATGTCTGTAATCCCAGCACTTTGGGAAGCACAGGTGGTGAATCACTTGAGGTCAGGAGTTCGAGACCAGCCTCGCCAACATGGTGAAACCCCATCTCTACTAAAAATACAAAAATTAGCTGGATATGGTGGCAGGTGGCTTAGTCTCAGCTACTTGGGAAGCTGAGACAGGTGAATCACTTGAACCCCGGAGGCAGAGGTCACAGTGAGCTGAGATCATGCCACCCCATTCCAGCCTGGGCAGCAGAAGAAGGTTCCATCCCCCCAAAAAATAAAAATTAAAACTAAAATTAAAAAAAATTAAAAGGCAGTCTGACAGGTGAACACACCAAAGAGAAGTGGGTGCTGCAGTGGGTGAAACAGGGCGGACATCCGAAAAGGCGTGGGGTGGATCCCAGGCTTGAGCCTCGTGAGCCAAGCCTCCAAGGAATCGCTCTAGGGGTGCTGGGCAGCTCTGGTTCTTGGTGTCAGCGGTGATGTGGTCCATGAACTAGATGGGTCAATTTAAAACACTGGAGATGGGAATGAAAATAGCCACAATTGGTAATATTAAATGAATTGCACTGAGTGGTCACCCTGAGAGAAGGGCTCTGGAGAGAGGAGGCTGGTTGTGGAGTTAAGAATCTCTCCATTGTCTAGTTGCAGAACTTGAGCGTTAGCGAGGCAGGAAGACATGCATCTTGGGGACTGAAAAGTCCTGGACTCATCTCAGAGGCGGTTTGGGGCTTACATAGCTACAATCAATAACCATCCTATCAGAGAGTCCCCGACTTCATCAGCATAGAAAAGAATCACTTCTTGGAGTGCATAAAGACATTGTTCAGAAGGAGATTGAAAAAAAAAAATTCAACTTGTGTGATGGTAAAGCCAACTCTGCTGGGTCAGCGTCCATCTTCTCTAACAATATAGCCAAATTATTGGGAACAGGACACCCATCGTGTCTCTTTCCAATCTTAGATTAATTTGCATATAATCTTATTATTATTATTTTTTTTTTTTTGAGACAGAGTCTTGCTCTTGTTGCCCAGGCTGGAGTGCAGTGGCGTGATCTCGGCTCACTGCAACCTCTGCCTCACAGGTTCAAGCAATTCTCCTGCCTCAGCCTACCAAGTAGCTGAGATTACAGGCACCCACCACCATGCCCAGCTAATTTTTGTATTTTTAGTAGAGACGGGGTTTCACCATGTTGGACAGACTAGGGTCGAACTCCCAACCTCAGGTGATCTGCCCACCTCGGCCTCCCAAAGTGCTGCGATTACAGGCATGAGCCACCACACCTGGCCTGCATATAATAATTTCTAATGAAACAGATATGAATTAGTTTAGACAAATGCTTCATGATGAAAATATTATGTGAGGCACTTATGTAATTTTACTTTTTCTAGTAGTGATAGTAAAAACAAAGGGATGCAGGTGAAATTAAATTTAATAATATATTTAATTTGATGCATTCAAAATATCCTTTCCACATGTAATCAATATAAACGTTATTAATACAATATTTCACTTTTTCATGCTGCCTTTGAAACCTTTGGATTTTGTATTTTACACTTAGCGTCCATCTCACTGTCCACCAGGCACATTGAAGTGCTCAGCAGTCACATGTAGCTGAATGCTGTTTTAGAGTCAGCCTCTCGATTTAGAATTCTTAACTTCCCTGTGTTTAGATGTGCGTTTAATGATTCAGTAGCCTGATGTTTCTGCTGGAGTATTGTCACAGCTGATTCAGATGAGATTTCGGCCACTGTGGAATGGAACACCAGGAAGGAAAATGGCGTGGAACTTCACTGAGTTCACGGAGCAGGCTGTTTGGGATACTGAGTTCACAGAGCAGGCTGTTTGGGATCGCTTTGGTTGCTTGCCTGCTAATAAAAATTCCTTCCTGTCATCTGACACCTGTTGTCACAGTAACACACCATCTACTCAAGAGATGCGTGGGAGAAAATGCCTACAGCTCTCACTTCCCTCCTGCAATTCTCAGCTATTAGTAACCACCTACAAAAACAACCTAATCATGAAGGACAACATCAGATTTCGCTAGTTCACAATGTTAAATTTCATGATGACATATTCTACCAATTATCCTAAAGCTAATATCTTCTCCATGTCTTTAATTTACTGTCTATTTAATGACTTTAGTCAATTCAGTCAAATACAACTTTGGAGACAAAAATACCCTACTTTTGGTTTGATTTTTATTGGTCCATATGTAATTTCGCTGCATGGTCGCTTAACTCTGTAACTGTCAGTTTTCTCAACTGTGTAATAAGGAAGTTGGGGGAATTCTGCTTCTGATTCAGATATTGAAGTTAGAGGAGACCATCACTCTCACCATAAAATAAAATGAGTCAGAAAAACTACAAAAACCATAGTTTTTTTTTAACCCTAAGAAAACTCAAGACACAAAAGTGTAAATAAACTGAACAGAAAATCAGAAGCGACCTTCCACGAGTCGGGTCAACTGCAGAAGTGAGATGGATCTGACACAGCTTCGGTAAGGAGGAGTCAGATGAACTTCTCCTGGGTGTTCAGTGGCCTGGGGGAGTTGTATGTCAGAGCTGACGTTGGTCGAGCTCCAGCAATGGAAACAGCCTTCTCCCCTGCCCACCTGTCCATGGGTCTCACTGAGTGCCCAAGTGTCATGTGTCAAAGGGGATTGAGGGAGGGGGTGGATAAAAACAGCTGGAAGCGACGGCTCCCTGAGATCTACAAGGGCTCTTGCGAGTTCCAGGGAAGAGCTGTCTGACGGTGGGCAAGTACCGGGGCAGAAGGTGGAGATGAGTTGATCTGAGGGGCCCCCCACCCTTCAGAGGGAGGGTAAGGCAGCATCTGTTGACCTGGGTTTTCTCCTGAAAACTGTGGGGTCAGGGGAGGAAACTTGAGATTTTAAAAGTCGAATGCATCCCAGGCTTTCAATTACTGAAGACTAGAGGAGTTGAGTAGGTCCACAGGAGAGAAACCATCTAAAGCAGCTACCAAGGCCCTGCGGGATGCCCCTTAGGAGGCCTGAGAGCCCAGCACTGCCGGCGAAGAAAACGGCCCTGGACTCAGAAAGTAGAAGCCAGGAACTGAGATCAAAGGGTTTTCAGCTGCCCCCAGAGCAGGCCATAGACCCTCCAGCAAGGACAGATCCTGCATGGATCCAAAGCAGGTGGCTCGGCTTGGGAGGACAAGCGACCTCAGGATTCCCACGTGTGCTGGGACCCCGGACCTCAGTGGAAGGAGAGTGCTGACCTCCAACTCGACTGGAATCCTGTGATAACCTGAATCAAATTATAACTAATCAGCTCCACACCCGGCTCAAATCTGATCGGCTCAACCATCACCCTAAGGGCTGACCTGAAAAGAGCCTATACTGTTACACATTCAAAAACTGGGAAGTAATTTTCACATTGCTTTTCAAAAATTGACTCACATGCTTAGGATAAACCCCACTTAGATATGACACATTGTTCTTGTTGTTTACTATTAGATTCAATTTTCTAAAATTGTCTTTAGGACAAGTGCATCTATAATCATAAAAGATACGGTAACGTGTTTGTCCAGATTTGGTACAAATATAAACCACAATATGGATGAACCTTGCAAATATAATATTATGCAAGGAAACCAGCATAAAATAATATAAACTGTATAATTCTATTTACATAAAGTTAAAATAAAAAGCAAGCAAGATGCTATTCTAGAGAGTCAGATTTAAGTGTTAAAAATGTAAAGAAAAGCAGTAAAGGGATCATCATAAATGTCAGGATGGGGCTACCTGGGAGGGGACGGCTGGGAGGAGGGGCGGTGACTAGGTTAAGGGAAAAAATCGGGGGTGGGAAGGTTATTCATTTCTCAAACTGTGTGTGGATTGCATATGTGTGTATTTTGTGAGAAATTTCTGAGAAGTACTTTTGCTTTCTGGGAATTAGAAGAAGGGGGATTGGTAGGTACATATTTTCGTATGTTTATTGTATTCTATTAATGAAGGTTTGACAATAAAAAAATTGCAAAACGCACGTATTCATACAAACAAACTCAAGAAAATAGACCCACAGTCATAAAATGAAACAATTAATAGGAACAGTCCCCTAAACAATATATTGATATATTTAGCAGAGTGGAACCTTAAGAAAACATGAGCAAAATTCCAAGGGGTTTGCCAGGGGAGGTGAATGTGTGTGGCAATGGAAAATTTCAGCAGCATCGTGAACAGTATGCAAAAATGGAAATGTCAGAAATATAAAAAATAACATCAGAAATTAAAAAAAATACAAGAAGCACTTGATTGCAGACTGAACATGGCCTAAGAAATGGTTAATGATTTAGAAGGCAATCTGATTAAAATATCTCAGGAAAAAAATACTGAAAAATATAATAGAACAAATCACCTGAGAACTGAGGCAAAGTAATTATAAATGGTCCAACATGCACGTAATTTAAGTCCCAGAATAAAATAAGAAAAAAATAAAGAAAAGGAAATATTTGAGACGATAACAATTGAAAACTTTCTAAAACTGATGCAAAACATAAACTCACACATAAAATGACAGAAATCTAAATCTAGGGACACATGTCCCTAGTCGCAATGGAAAAATAGTTGTCAAAAAGTATGTTAATATTAGAACAAAAATAGAAAAACAAATAAGAAATAAGGTTTATATGTAACAAACATTATGAGGAAGATTTGAAGCCAAGAGTAAAAATAATGTCTCTTCCCATCCCTCCTTTTGACCAGAAAATATTGTGATCTAGTGAAAAAGGGTCTGGATTTGGCTAACAGAAGGGGACAGGTCTCTACCTACTCTGCCCTGAGCTTGTTGGTTGACCCTTTCTCTAACCAATCCTTTTCGGGTCTCTTTTCTACCAGTAGAATTTTTAACACCTGAAATTGTCACAAACACTTACTGCCCTTTGCTATCAGACGCCAGGGCAGAGAGGCTCTGGCTGTCTTCTGCTATTTATCCCCAGCCCCCAGAACAATGTCTCAGAACAGCTGCTCAGCAAGTATCCATCGATTGAAGATGGCAGGAAGGTCTCAGCGCCTGTCTCTCTAAATACAAAACCACTTCTACTTCTAGAACAAATTTGAAGATAAACATCAACCTGAGAGAAATAGTGATGAATAATCCAGCTCCACTAGAAAGACAAATTTCTTAAACATTAATCCTTAAGTGGAAGCTGTGAAAGAATTCTCCTGCTTGCTTACTTCATGCCTTTGTGAGGTTTGATCGCATTTCCTACCTGCCAGATATTGTCCTTTCCCTCCTCTTTATCCAACCCAAGATTTCATTGATTCGTTGATTTTAATGCATAAAAAATGCAATGAAACTAACGTTTCAGGAGCATGTATGAACTATATTACAGCAGATAAACATGTACAGGTGTGCACAGAAATAGCTGGTACACACAGTTCCTTCCCTGAGATCACGGCAAGTTGAAGTTACCAGGAAGTGCACGGTAAAGGAAGCTGCTTGTGGTCAGTATTTCAAATTTACGTGCATTCAGGGCAGAAATCGTGCTGCTGTGTTTTAAAAATATAATTATATATACACACATATTAAAAAATTAAAGCTCTGTTAAAAAGTCAAAAAAGAAGTAGCGAGTAAGGAAAATCCTCACGCTGAATAAATATTGTCTCACTCAATGAGAAATGATAATTACACATGTAGTCAAGATGATGATTAAATATGACAATGTATTGCCCATAGAAAATGGAAAATAAACTGTAAACTAATGAAAGTATTTCAAATAATGCCTGTCAGGATGTGCAAAGTTCTGAGTGGGAATATTTCATCTCTAATGCACAGTTCTGTCCACCTGCCCTTCATCATGATCTCTTAAGCTATTTTCAGATGACAAACCCTTCCTTCTTTCTTATGAAAAATTTGCTTAATACAGGATTATTATTTCAATAATCCTATTACATTAATCAATCAAACTTTGGCAAGTTTAAAGTGTTTTACCTTCAAGTAGGTTTTTTTCTCACAGAGATAATAATTTTATAATAAATGCCTGGTATTCTAATAGAAGAACATTTTCAGAAATTGACTGGTAAACAGCAAAGGTAATCTCTTTTGATGTCCCTGGAATCTAGTCATGCTACAGGATGTTTGAGAAAACACGCATGCACACATCGGAACTTCAAAATATAACTTAACAAGTCAGCCTCTATATATCACAAGTGCTATGTTTTACTATGTAAGAGGAATACAAATACTTCTAATTCATCTTCATAATCAATATCATTTTGAAATGCACAGGTTAAAATTGTGTACTGCATGATGGCATATATTCATAAACAGATGAAATAAAAGAATGATCACCAAAAGAGTCTTTTATTTAAAGGCTGGATGGATTTTTGAAGATTTTTAATCTCTTCTTTATTTTTTGTACTTATGTGTATTTTTATAATGAGATTATTTTTATCCTGAGGATGCATTTTTATATTATCAGAAGTACGATTGTATTAGTTTTTTAGGGCTGCCATAAAAATTTCCATAAACTGGGTGGCTTAAAATAGAAATATATAGTCTCACAGTTCCGAGGCTGGAAGTTCAAAATCAAGGTGTCAGCAGAGCCATGCTCCCTCTGAGACTTGGAGATAAAGGGTCCTTCCTGCCTCTTCCAGCTCTTGGTCGACCAGGGACTCCTGGCTTGTGGCCACATCAATCCAGCCTCACTTGACTTTCTGTCTGTGTCTTCACATCATCTTCCTCCTGCGTTTGTCTGTGTGCAAATGTCCCTTTTTATAGGGGGTGCCAGTTATACAGGATTGGGTTCCTCCCTCATCATTTTAATTTGACTTTCTCTGTCAGGATGCTATTTCCACATAAAGTGACAGTCTGAGGTTCCCAGGGTTAGGATTTCACCTTATCTTTTTACGAGGGAGATAATTCAACTCATAATAGTAATGAATCTTCATTCTGAAAATAGGAATAAAAAGACTGATGTACATAGTCTTTGCCTAGACATTTTCACAAGTTAAAAAAATCAATTTCTGTTTGGTGCCTTTTAATTTAATTAATATGCTTTCTAATATTTATATTTGTGAAATGGACAGAAGGAAAAATATCAGTATTGTTAATTAGTCATTTTGGCAATCATCACAAGGCTAAATGCTTTTAATATTTTCAAGTTGTTTTCCTCCTTGCTTTTCATATAAACCATTTAATCAACATGTTCTTCATTGATATGGCAGATTTTTAATTTGTGGCTTAAAATTATTACATGAAATTACTGAAAGTTACATATGACAGCTTCAACAAAGACTTGTAATCAAATAAGAAAAGACCCACTAAAGCATTTTGTGTTTTTAGTCATCACACTAATTAAAAGCATATTTCTGTTCTCTTAAACATTGAGCTTCTGCCTTAGAGTCACATAAATTCTTGCTTCCAGTTTTCCACAAGGACCATATTTCAAAAGCTATTATCTTAAAATTACAGTTGAAATGACTTGTTCAGCTAACATTAGTTACCTTCCTCTTCTCTATATTTAATTCTCGCTCTTTCCTGATTATCCAAGCTGTCAATCTCTGTATTTCACAAAACTATATTTATAACTTCACGGTTATTAAGGCTGATTTTATATGTCCTGATTTAAACTGAATTTCTAAAAAAATTCTAGAGGCAAATGTTCTTTAGAGAATGAGTCACTTCCAGACACCTGCCTGGTGCCCAGGTGTGCACTGAGGCAGGCTGGAGTGACTGGCTCTGGAAACAGTGCAAGAGGACCTTGTTGCTGCTTAGCAACACCATCCTCAGGACCACAGGCGGGAGGCCTTCATCTCAGCACAGTTTTAGAAAGAACAAAGGTCTAGGGACACAGAAGAAAAAAACCTCTTCAGGATATCTACCTCAAATCCAAAAAATACCTGTATTCTTATAGCTACAGTGGATTCGATAGCTGTATTGTATTGAGTTTATAGAGGAAAATACCTGAATATTATCATTTAGTTATATTTAAAGTGATCATACTCTTTTCTTCTTTTCTACCTGGAGCTCCTCACCCTCAGGCGATTTCAGAGGATGTTGACACGTTACCAGTGGGTGAGGAAAGCGTGAGGAAATAAAAGTGGATTGACTTCTTGGATTGAAAGTCCTTCTGGAAGGAGAACTAATAATGCTGACATTGGCTAAGGGAAGTGTTTGCAAGCTCCATGGGCATCTCATTGCTGATGCTCGAGCACTACTTCATCACACAATACCCGAAGATGAACTAACAGTCACACTCCTTCCCTACGTTAGCCTGAAAATGAATGCATCAAAGAGCTAGAAAATAAGTCAAGAATCACGTGGTACTAGGCAGCGTGAATTTTGAATCTCTTGGTTATAAAACTTCTGGTTAGGCTGGGAGCTGTGGCTCACACCTGTAATCCCAGCACTTTAGGAGGTGGAAGTGGATGGATCACCTGAGATCAGGAGTTCGAGACCAGCCTGGTCAACATGGCAAAACCCCATCTCTACTAAAAATGCAAACATTAGCCGGGCATAGTGGTGCATGCCTGTAGTGCCAGCTACTCAGGAGGCTGAGGCGGGAGAATCACTTGGGAGGCAGAGGCTACCGTGAGCTGAGATCGCGCCACTCCACTCCAACCTGGGCGACAGAAGGAGACTCTGTCTCAAACAACAACAACAACAATTTCTGGCTAATAATTGCATATTGTATATATGCGTGTGTGTGTGTGTGTGTGTACTTTCTGTAACAAATGAGCTTTGTATAAATGTTTGCAAATCTTAGTCGTGACTTCAGCATGAAAGCTTAGTTTATTAAGAAATAATTTCCATAAAGAATCCTTTCCAAATAATCAAATGTCGCTGAACTTGTCTAATTCTTCTTTTCTAGGACAGTAGATTTTGCTTTCCCTTTCCTTAGTACTCTGAGATGCAATTAATGAAGGCATTAGGATTTAAATAAATAAAACGTATTCAACATTTCTGCTGCTGACTGACTGTTCTCCTCCACCCTCTTTTGTGAGAAGCAAATTCAGCAGTGAGGAGAACGGCCTGCCTGCCTGATCCTTGTCACCGTGACCCACCAAGCCAGTCACTGTCACGTGTAAATAAGACATTTATCCAGGCATGTCCTGCATTGTTCTGTGGTATAAAACCCTGTGAAGATGATTAAGATGATTTATGTGTCATTTTGAAGTTACAGACTAGCAGCAGTAGCTGAATTCTTTTTCTGGGTCCACCAGAGGAAGGAAGGTAGACAGACAGCAATGCCTAAACACACGGCCAGAGCTGGAGCTGATCTAGGGGAAAGTGTAGACATACAAATACAAGGGCAGACTACATGGTGGCCTGTGTACATCAATTTATCCAACTTTTAAATGTAATTTTAAGTTAAAAGAAATGTTAGTTCTGTCCTCGTGTGATTCCTAGCTAGCAGCTCCTTCCCTTGGACGCAGTCAGTTTTTGGTAAATTAAAATGGTGAAAACAGCAGTGACATTCCACTTTCGCTCTGTTCCTCTCCAGATCTTTTCATAGTTGTCCTTTTTCTTGCTTCCGTAGGGGACAATTAATGTGGGGTCTGCCCAGTCCCCACCTGCCTGTCTTAGGCTAGCTGAAGGGGTATTTGAATTTAAAAATTTAGAAGGTTTCTTGCTTCTCTATGAGTGATCTTTACCAGCCCACATCTCTGAAAAAGGAGTCTTTGAAGACAGAAAAGACTCATTAGAAATAGGGTTTACCAAGGCTGAAGTACTTTATTACATAGTTTTTATCTTAGTGTTGTTGATAAAAATAATCAAACTCTTAAAAAATTTTATAGACATTTATTCTGAGCCAAATATGAGTGACCAAGACCTGAGGCACAGTCTTAAGAGGTCCTGAGAACATGTGCCCAGGGTGGTCAAGTTACAGCTTGGTTTTATACACTTTAGGGGGACATAAAACATCAATCAATACATGTAAGGTATACCCTGGTTTGGTCTGAGTAGGCAAGACAACTTGAAGTGGGGGCTTACAGGTCAGAGGTGGATTCAAAGATTTTATGATTGGCAATTGGTAGAATGAGTTAAGTTAGTATCTAAGAATCTGGAATAGAAAGGAGTGTCTAGTTTAACATAACGTGTTGTGGAGACCACAGTTCTTATTATGTAGATGAAGTCTCATAGGTGACCATCCATAGAGGCAATAGATGTCAAATGTTTTCTATTCAGACCTTTAAAAGGTACTAGACTCTCAGATCACCTCTTCAGGATCAGAAAAAGACCTGGAAAGGGACGGTGATTTTCTACAGAACGTAAATTTTCCCCAACAGAGACAGCATTGCAGGGCCATTTCAAAATTTGTTAAAGATATATTTTGGGGCAAAATATTTTTATTTCTTTCAGGAACTGCTGTCTTGTGATGCTATACCACAGTCAGGTTGGAATTTGGTATCTTATTGCTACAGAGTCTTAATTGTCTCTGTTGAAAATAAAGGCAGAGATTTCCCTCTTCTTTTCCTGCCCTGTGAAGAGGTGGCTTCTGCCATGATTTTAAGTTTCCTGAGGCCTCCCCAGCCATGCGGAAATCTGAGTCAATTAAACCTCTTTTCTTTATAAATTACTCAGTCTCTGGTATTTCTTCATAGCAGCCTGAGAATGGACTAATACACAGGGTCTCACTCTGTTGCCTAGGCTGGAGTACAGTGGTGCAAACACAGCTCACTGCAGCCTTGAAATCCTGTGCTCAGGTGATCCTCCTGCCTCAGCCCCTGAAGAGTTGAGATTTCAGGTTTGAGTCACCTCATCCAGCCTAGGCAAGTGTATTACTTACTGGAAATTAATAGAGCTATTCTCTTTTTACCCTATAAGTGTTTTTCCTCTGAAGTCTGTCATTTGAATTCTAGGGTAACCAGCAGCTTATCAGAATTAATTACATTTGTGAATTGTGCCCTCATCTGTGCACTTAATGTAGATTTGGAAAAAAAAATCTCTGTGTTAAATCTTAAGGACGTGCTTCCTATTTTATTTGAGTGAAATATTACGGCAAAGGAGAAATACTTTCAAAATCATGGCGTTAATTCATCTATTCTCTTATTTAAAAATGTTTATAAAGGATACTAGATATTAGGAATAAAAAGAGAAAATGGATCTTGTCCTTGGGATATCCACTTTTCCTAGGGGTAACAGGCAACTTTTAAAGTAGCAAATGAGGCTGGGCATGATGGCTCACACCTGTAACCAGCACTTGGGGAGGCCGAGGTGGGCGGATCACCTGAGGTCAGGAGTTTGAGACCAGCCTGGCCAACATGGTGAAACCCCATCTCTACTAAAAATACAAAAATTAGCCAGGCATAGTGGCGGGCGCCTGTAATCCCAGCTACTTGGGAGGTTGAGGCAGGAGAATTGCTTGAACCTGGGAGGTGGAGGTTGCAGTGAGCCAAGATCGCACCATTGCACTATAGCCGAGTGAAACTCCATCTCAAAAAAAAAAAAAAAAAAAAAAGTAGCAGATGAAATCAATGAGACCAGTGAGAAGTAGGGGGAAAAAACCCAACCTGATTAAGTGTAGGGCATGTGTAGCAATTTCACATGAAATAATTTTGAAATGACCCTTATAGTATGAAGCAATTTTGTTTGAATGATACATGGGGAAGATCCTCTCCATTAAAACTCTACAAATGTGTATAATACAGACTGAAATGGAAAATACGTTATTAGGAGGAAGTGCTCTGAAGAAGCAGCTCTGTCCCAGTGTTTAACTCGCCCGTGCTTTTGACCTGTCCTGTAGGGACCCGCTCCCTCCTGCAATGCTCTCTGTCACTGGCACCCTCCAATGTGGGCTGCTGGCCACCTCCTCTGCCCTCTTTCCCAGGGAAGCTGGGTTTTACCTTAGCAGACCACACTGTTCAGCAACTTTGCGTTCATTAATTTCCTATTCTTGTTTCATTTTAATAATGGAAAACAGTTTTGCTTAGTTATTATTCTGAAAGTCCAATTAGGAGTCTTATCATTTGTAATCAAATCATTTAAATACTAATGGGAATGAAAATGGTGTGTGGCACTTCAGTATTACTTAGTCTCTCTCAGCAAGAACATTCTTTAGTCAAAATCAAATGTCTCCTTTCTTTCAACGTTTACTTCTCTTAAACAATAACAGTTTAAAAATATTCCAGGGCGGGGAGCAGTGGTTCACGCCTGTAATTCCAGCACTTTGGGAGGCCAAGGCCAGCAGATCACCTGAGGTCGGAAGTTCGAGACCAGCCTGATCAACGTGGAGAAATCCTGTCTATACTATAAATACAAAATTAGCCAAGCATGGAGGCGCATGCCTGTAATCCCAGCTACTTGGGAGGCTGAGGCAGGAGAATCAGTAGAACCCGGGAGGTGGAGGTTGTGGTGAGCCAAGATTGTGCCATTGCACTCCAGCCTGGGCAAGAGGAGCAAAACTCCGTCTCAAAAAAAAAAAAAAAAAAAAAATTCCAGTTTAACCATCTGAGGTTTTCTCCATACTTCTCAACTCAGAGATTCCTAAAACAAAGAAATACACACAGGTAGGCCTAAGATTATGCTTTGCATATTTCAGAGGAACAGCCCTCCAAGATTTCTGTTACAGTCAAGAATACCTGTTTCCTTCAACTAGAATTCCCCTATTCTACTCTGACAAGCATTGCACCCTCTTAGTTTCATATTGTCTTTAATTTTCCTCCCATACTTAATGTTATGGAAAAGGTAGGAAACATGTTCCTGATTTAGGAAAAAGAAATATTCTACTACTATTAAATACTCTATGACATATCCTGAAAGTTTTTATCTGTCAATCTACCTTTCTATTTATTTATTTATTTATTTATTTATTTATAGATATGGGGTCTCACTTTGTTGCCCAGGCTGGTATAGAAATCCCAGCCTCAAGCTTGGCCTCCCAAAGTGCTGGGACTGCAGGCATGAACCTCCACGCCCGGCCTATGTATCTTTCCATCTAACTATCTCTCTTTCTATCTATCTATCTGCCTATCTCTGTCCCTTCTTCTCCTTCTCCTCTTCCTCCCCTTTTTCCTCCTCCTCCTACTCCCGTTTCCTTCTCCCCTTTGTCCTCCTCCTTCTCCACCTTCCCATTCCTTCTCTCCCCCCCACACACAAACACACACACAAACACACACATGTGCAGATGAAATGGCTATGTTGACTGGGGTATATAGCCTGGAGTTCCCCGTCATGCACCAGGAAAATTTAGGACACAGACACACAAGGAATTTAGGAGCGGAGGTTTCATAGGCAGAAGAGAAGAGGATGAGAAACAGCTCTCTCTAGAGAGAGAAGTCCCTGAGCAGAAAGGAACAAGCGGTGGTGGACGGTCCAAATTTTACAGTCCAGTTTGTGAAGGCGGTGTCTGATTTACGTAGGGCTCACAGATTGGTTCCTTCAGGTATGATGTCTAGATAGCCTTAGGGAGGCTGGTGGCCCCACCCTAATCTTATTATGCAAATAGGCTTTCCAGTTGATGGAAGCCATCTTGTTTGGTTCTTACTGTACGAGTGGTTGACAAAGAGAAGGGCACCTTGAACATGTCTAGTCCCCGCTTCCTGCCAGCATTCACCGGTGCAAGCTCCCAGTTGGCTTGTCTATGTCTGCAGCTTGGCCTTACAGGCTGCTCTTTGTTAAGACGGTGATTTAGGGCTGCTTTTCCTTAAAGAGAAAGCCTTACAGGGGACTTCTGTACCCTATCTGTCTAAGTGCTTTCTTCTTAACTCCTATTATCACAGACACGCACCCAAATATGACTGGGGGAGATGCTGCTGAGGCTGCTGTCCCGTCCCACATTTTACCATCCATAAATCTCCACGGACATCGATCTTGAAGAGTATGGATTTTTTTTTTTTCAGAGCCTATTACCCTCAGGGAAGACAAGCTACCTGCTGTTTACTAGGAATGAGATGTCCCAGGGGGCTAAAACCTAACTCCCATTTTTTTTTTTTTTTTTTTTTTTTGCCTTGTGAAATCTAATTAGAAAATCATTCAGTTAAAACAATTAAGGTATAGTTCATTTTATGTTACAAAACAGTTCAAAGCCAACAAATTAAAGGCACAAATGCTCTATGCCAGTGGTTCTTAAATGTGTTTTCAAGTCCTTTAGGAGTGTGCTGAATTGGTTGTACTACGTACTTACTTGAATTTCTGGAAGCAAGGGGCAAAACTGTGTGGGTTCATGGGTTGTGGTTTATGTGTCTATGTTCATTATTCTGGTAGAAAACTGATCCTGACTTTAAAGTCTTAGAATTTTTTTTATCATGTATTTTTTGCATTAATTTTAAGACTTTAAAATACTGCACTGGGGCCGGACATGGTGGCTCATGCCTGTAATCCCAGCAGTTTGGGAGCCCAAGGAGAGTGGATCACCTGAAGTCAAGAATTCCAGACCATCCTGGCCAACATTGCCAAACCCCATCTCTACCAAAAACACAAAAATTAGCCAGGTGTGGTGGCAGGTGCCTGTAATTCCAGCTACTCAGGATGCTGAGGCAGGAGAATCACTTGAATCCAGGAGGTGGAGGTTGCAGTGAGCCAGGATCATGCCACTGCACTCCAACCTGGGTGAGAGAGCAAGATTGTGTCTCAAAAAATAAAATAAAATAAAATAATGACACAGAGTGAGGTCATAGCTATCTCCAGAATTATGAAGAACTACTAGACTCCTGAGTCAATGATAAAATTGATGGGGAGGCCAGGCATGGTGGCTCACGCCTGTAATCCCAGCACTTTGGGAGGCCAAGGCAGGCGGATCATCTGAGGTAAGGAGCTCGAAACCAGCCTGGCCAACATGGTGAAACCCCGACTCTACTCAAAAAACAAAAATTAGCCAGGCGTGGTGGCAGGTGCTTGTAACCCCAGCTACTTGGTTGGCTAAGGTGGGAGAATCACTTGAACCTGGGAGGCAGAGGTTGCAGTGAGCTGAGACTGCGCCACCTGCACTCCAGCCTGGGCGACAGAGCGAGACTCCGTCTCAAAAAAAAAAATTGCATTAAATATTATTTGTCTTGATAACTGAGTTTTTTCCCCTCTAAATTTTGTGCCTGAGCTAAGCTAAGTGCCTCCTTCACTCCATCCTCTCAGTCCTGGGAGGGCCTCAGAGCTTAGTTTAAGTACTGAAGAGACTGAGGACTTCACAATTGTTTCCCTTTTTCTTTTTCTAAATTAATTATCATCAGAATGAGAGCAAAATAAATCACCACTAGTAGAAAAACATCAATGATGACATAAAACATATCTCATTTTACTTGCAGAACATCCAAATGCTGGTGTATTCTGAGCCGTCTCACCATCCACCAGATTCTTTAGTGTAGATTCCAGTTTAACCACATTCAAACTGAAAGTATTGATAAAGACCAGCAAATAGGGATAAAGTATAAAGGAGGAAAGGGTCAATACATTGGGTTTCATATTCCAACTGTATCTCACCCTGACCATGCGATCCCCAGGCTTTGCACTTAATCTTCCTAAGTGTCTCTGTTTGAGAAATAACAATTTTGTAAAGTTTTGGGTTTTGTTCAGGATAAAATAAAAGTACATGTAATGAGGTAGAAAGGAAGAACTAGGGTATTTAGGAGGAGTATACGAGTGGTTGATAATCTGTGAAATACAACACTCTGATTATTGCTCATTAATTTTTCATGCAATTTCAGCACTTGGGGCAGAAAATCAAGGTGTTTTGTGTTTCTGTCGGGAGTGTGAACACTGCCCTCTGAGACACTGCAGACCAGTCCGCAGCACAGGCCTCCAAGTTTTCCCACATGTGGCACATCGAAGCTACATTCGAGACCTTCTTTGAGCGTCATATTTGTGGAATTCCTTTGCCCTGTACACGTTAATAAGTTTGTTATTGCTTGCCTCTTTTTGAACTGTCTACCCTTAGTTCTTTGCAGAGAACCTTCAGAGTAGACAGCAGGGAAGCTTTCTCTCCATCCCTCTACCTGCAGACACTGGTTTATCTGCACAGCTCAGGGCTTTGGTGAGACTGCCAGGGACAGCCCTGTGGCTCCTCCTCAACCCCTTCTGCTTCAGGGAGATAATGGCAGGGTGACCGCCACCCAAGCGAGCTTGGCAGAAAGGAGAAGAAAACTTTATATAAAAGTCCCAGGGATGGGAGCTTTTAAGGGTCAAGTTTCCCAAATGACACAGTAAATGTGAAAACATGTAAGAGCATGGTATTTTCTGTTTCCTGAGATGTAACAATAATACGAATAATCACATTCATTAAATTACACCTATTAATTATACTTCTGTAGTGCTTCTTAGTTCTAGATGCAGTCACAGATCTCATCATTTCATTGTATCCTCTCAATGATCTCGTGATATTTAAATTTCAATGCCCTCATTTATAAGGGTGGAAAAGGACAAAATTTACAGAGATTGTAATTTACTCAAGTTCAAAACAATTTGAATTTAAGTTTTCTGTATCTTAGTCCTTTGTTTTTACCACCATGCCATCCTATTTTCACTTAAAAATACAAACATTTTATTGCTTCAGTGAACTGAAATGTGATAATAGGAATCTGTTAGTGCATGCCAGCTAGTAACCTAAGGCTTCCATGTGTTATATTTGTGGTCATCACAAATCCCCACACTGTTATGAATCCCATTTTACAGATGAAGAAACTGAAATACAGACATTCAGTTTCTTGCCCATAGTCACTTACAGTAAATAGGGATTCCTGGACTCAAACTCAGGCAGTCCAGAGCCTCCCTCATAATTACCAGGTTATCCTACCTCTCTGGAAGCTGCTGACAAATATTAACTGCTTCAGTCAGTAAAACTGCAACCATTTTCATGCATTTGCCTACTCGAGTTGCTGTGACTAAGTACCACAGAGGGGGAGGCTTCAACAACAGATGTTTATGGTCCAAGACCAAGTTTCCATCTGATTTGGTTCCTGGTGAGACCACCTTCCGCGGCTTGCAGGTGGCTGCCTTCTTGCTGTGGCCTCACATGGCCTTTTCTCAGTGTATGCACTAGAAGAGGGAGAAAAATGTCTGTCTCTCTTCTTAGAAGGCCACCAAGCCTGTAGGATTAGGACTCCACTCTTATTACCCCCCTTGACCTTCATTATCCTCCTAAAGCCCGATCTCCAAAACCAGTCAGACTGGGGATGAAAATTTCGATATATGTATTTTAAAGAGAAACAATTCAGTCCAGAGTGTATCAACAAACAGTAAAAACACAATTAATGGATGTTTTATAGCCTTTATCATTTTACGTGTTTTAGATTTCCAAAGAGTTGCAACTTCTTCCGTCACAGTGTGTATTGATTTCCCATTGCTTCCATGACAAAGAAGACGGAGTTGCCATGTTCAACATGCCCAGCCCCCAGGTAGTCCCTTGCCCACTGGCATAGCTGCCGGCATTCACCCCTGCAAGCTTCCAGTTTGCTTATTTATGTCTACAACTTGATTTTACAGGCTGCTTTTGTTAGAAAAGAAATGATTTGGAGGCTGCCTTTCATTAACAGGAAAACCTTACCGAGGATTTCCTTACCCTCACTACCTGCCTAAATAATTTCTTTTGAACTCCTATATCATTAACACAGTCTCGGGTCCAGGGAGTTGGATATCGGTGTCTTTGGGGGACCCTTACTCAGCCCAGCACTGGCTGAGTGCAGTGGTTAAACTCATTGCTTCATGACATCATCCTGGGCACTGGGTGTTCCACTTTGCACTGGGGGCGAGAGGAGTCTCCCAGCCCTACTCCAATGACAGGTTGGCTGGGCTGAAGGGTCCACATGGCTGTAAGTCTGGTGCCTTGGTAAGAATAGCTGGGAGGCAGGAACAGCCCACCACAGAGGATTCCAGGAGGCCAGGCAGAAGCTGCAAGGCCTCTTACGGATTAGGCTTGAAGGACCCAGAGTGTCACTTCAATTGGTCAAGCAACCCACAGCAAGACCAAGACCAGATTCAAAGGAAGAAGAATTTGATTTCATTTCTGTTTGTAGACGTAACAAAGAATGTGCAGCCCTCTTTACCCTCTTAAACTGTCCTCCCCTTCAAAATACCTGTAGTTATCATACTGTACTTCTGTTGACTTCTATACCCAAAACTAATTATTGGGTTATAAGCAATACAACTACATTTTTTCTTTTGTGTTTTATATTTATAATTGACAAAGACAATACTTTTAATTTTATTTTAGAGTATCTTTATACATCAAACGTATTTGCTCATCAATGTATATTTACTTAATCTAATCCCTAGTGTGAAAACAGAAACTCAAACTAAAAAGCAAGTATATTGTCATATACAAATGCATTATCATTTTCATAGAAAAGTCCAGAAAGAACACATAATAACATTTAACTTTAGTATCAATTAGAGAAGAAAGACTTTTAATCCACATGTATTAATTGCTCATCACTATTTGATATGGTTTGTCTGTGTCCCCACCCAAATCTCAACTTGAATTGTATCTCCCAGGATTCCCATGTGTTGTGGGAGGGACACAGGGGTCCGTAATTGAATCATCGGGCTGGTCTTTCCTGTGCTATTCTCCTAAAAGTGAAAAAGTCTCATGACGTATGATGGGTTAATAAGGGGTTTCCCCCTTTGCTTCCTCCTCATTTCTCTCTTGCCGCCACCATGTAGGAAGTGCCTTTTGCCCTTCACCATGGTTGTGAGACCTTCCCCAGCTATGTGGAACTGTAAGTTCAATTAAACCTTTTTGTTTTGTAAATTGCCCCGTCTCGTGTATGTCTTTATCAGCAGCGTGGAAACAGACCAGTACACTATGGTAATTGGTAAAGTTAGGTGAATTTCACTATTTTGTTTATTGATATGAAGTTGAAAATCAGAAGGTAGGAAAACTTGGAACAGGGCTGTCTTTTCTGATGCCTACTAATGGCTGAGACTATAAGTGCTAAAAAATAAATATTAGAAATGAAATGGGTTATTTTATATTTTAACTTTTAAAAAATTTTAGGTGTGATATTTTTATCAATGAGATTGTGCTAACAAGACATTATATGGAGCCTTTAGTAAGTTGACTCCGTATGTCCAGTCGAATTTAAAATTGCGGTCAATATAAGAAAGCTGCATGTTGTAGTGGTGACGAGTTAGCTGTGGGGTTTCTCAGATCTCTTAGATCTTTTAGGCATAGAGGGAAAAATAATATATTAACTGTGTGAGAAACAAGAAATGAAGTTAATTGAAAGGGAACTTAGCAAGGAAAATCAATTTTCACTGCAAAACAGTGTGCTGCTGCTGTTGCAATGTTCCCTGCTGCAATCCAGGAGAATCTGTGAATAAGAAACAGATTCCTAAGGTCTCCTTTCACTATTGAACCCTCTTCCAAGGACTGTTGCCAATTACATGAGATACTTCAGTTTCAAAACATAGAAATAAATTTTAACAAACTATCAACAAAAAACAGGGTTAGGGTTTGAATGTCTGTGTCCCTCTAAAATTCATGTTGAAACTGAATGCCCCATGCTGTAGTATTAAGATGTGGGAGCTTTGGAAAAGTGGTTATGTCCTGAGGGCGCCACCCTCCCGAATAGGATTAAAAGACCTTATAAAATGATCTTCCCAGAGCTGCCTGGTCCTTCCTTCTGCCCCTTCTGCCATGTGAGGATAAAATGAGAAGCACCATCTATGAAGCAAAGACGAGGCCTTCACCAGACACCAAATCTGCTGGAAACTTGACCTCGGACCTCCAGCCTCCAGAACTGTGATCTAGAAATGTCTGTTTATAAGTGACTTAGTCCGTTGCAAATGTCTTGTTATAACAGCACAAATGAACTAAGTCAACCAATTTGATAATTAAAACAATAGAGAGAAATTGTTTGATTTTCATAATGGCAATTTCTCTTATCACAACAGATTTTCATATTTGATGTCTCTATGTTTTAAATGTTTATGAAAGTAATACATGCTTTTTTCAGTTCCCTTTCCAGCTTTATACATGGTTCTTATAAAATGCAATTATCATAGAGTTCTATTATATGGAAAGTGAAAGTCCCACATATTATTGCAACCAAAAGAGAATCATCATGGTTAGTTTCTACCAGGCTCGCATTTTTGTTCCTTTTGGAAAAACCATTATTCCCAGAAACAAAGAACATCTCAATTTAGAAAGAGGAGATTTATACTGAGAGGCAGAGGACACAAGTTCCAGTTCTCTCTCTCTCTTTTTTTTTTTTTTTTTTTAGACTGAGTTTCGCTCTTGTCGCCCAGGCTGGAGTGCAATGACACCATCTCATCTCACTGCAACCTCCACATCCCGGGTTCAAGCGATTCTCCTGCCTCAGCCTGTCAAGTAGCTGAGATTACAGGCGCATGCCACCATCCCTGTCTAATCTTTTGTATTTTCAGTAGAGACGGGTTTTCACCATGTTGGCCAGGCTGGTCTCGAACTTCTGACCTCAGGTGATCCACCTGCCTCGGCCTCCCAAACTGCTGGGATTATAGGCGTGAGTTACTGCGCCCTGCCTACTTTCTCTCTTATACAAGGTGGTTCCCTATAACATATAGTTAATAATGCCTTAATTGATGATGCTTGGGATGTGGTCAGGGACCTTTTCCGTTTTAAAAGTCTTTTGTAATTTTATTTTTTTAAATTTTTTTTGTCTAAGTAGCACAGTACTTAACTATTGCAGATACATGTCTGCCTGTTCTACAGACCTACAGACTGATTGCGTTAATCAGAATTCTTCAGAGAAACAGATCCAGGAGGTCTATACCCACACCTATCTGACTATAGCTTCAGAATCTACAGAACTAGAAAAATTTATTTTACAGCTGACATAAGAAATATTAGGATATACACAGAATATTCAATACAAATTCATCATTCTTTTGCTTTGCATAATACCTACACATGGCTAGGTAAAATTTTGAGCAAATGGGTATTTGAATTGAACTAAAACTTGTTATCAGACTAGAGATAAGACATTATGCTTTGACTATGACCTTTCTGGTTTATAAATCACCCTCCTTTTCTTTGTTAGAAAAAGTCAAGGTTATACATTTTATTTTTACTCTCAAAGACATGTTAGTTATATTGGCCTAGAACAAGTAACATATCAGTTAGGATTTATAACTCCAGCCACTATGTATAAAATGCAAAAATCCTATATTTCTATGGGAATAAGAAATTAAATCACATTTTAGAATTAGAGCTTAATTCCTCATTGATGAGTAGGAAACCCAGTATTTCCATCTGTGAACAACTTAGAATCAAACCAATCATCTCAAATGGGGGCTATTTTCCATTTACTCTCAAAGGCATAACCATATAGAAACATGGTGAGTACTGGCAGCTGCGTGCAGTTTGATACGGTGGGATTGCAGGGTGTGAGAACAGGAAAGACTGAGAGGGATGTAAGGGGTAGTGAGTGCAACAAGGCTTTCACACGTCGGGTTTCCAAGTTTCTGTTGGATTCTGTAGGCAGATTCCGAAATTTTGCTGTGTTATCAAGTGGTTGCTAATTAAATGCAACCTCCAGGGCTTCCCTGAAGAGATTCTAAAGTGGCAGGTCTAGGATAAGGCCTCTACTGAGCTTCCTACTTTTCGAGGGATACATATTAATGGGAAGGAACTAAAATTTTACCATCCTCGTCATGAGATTCTACAAATATGGAGCGGACGGCAATCCAATGAAAATGTAAGTAAAGGCACAATTGTAGTGTTTAAGATTTGCCTGCTAGGTCTGTCCGAAAACAATGACCCATGGCTGTCATGCACGTCTACACAGCACAAGCACAGACAGCCTTTTGTTCTGCACCGTCTTCAAGAAAATTTGTATGGCACACACCTTTGTAAAACAGACAGACTGTCTCCTTGCAGAGGAGCACTGGCTTTTATGAAAGGACAATGTGCTGAATGTATGTACAACCGCTGTTCTTTTTATGCTACATTCGACAGCTGGTCCTACCCAGTCAGTTCATACTATCTTTTTAAAATTTTTTTTTTTCCAATGTGGCTCACACTTCCCTGAGTCTGTGTATTTTGTAATTTTTGGTTGAAAACTGACATTCAAGATAAAAAAAAAAAAGAAAGTAGAAGACATAGTTTTTTTTTTTTTTTTTTTTTTCCTCAGGGCTGTTGGACTATTTTTAGGAAGCTTCCCTGGAAAACCTCATCTCTTCTACGAAGCTCAACTGTTGATGTGTTATGCTCCCTTTTTTGTTTTCCTTTTTTCCTTAGGTCCTTGGGGTTGTTTCTATCTCTGTAGATTTTGATGATCAGTTCCAGTGATTTGGACAGGGGTTGCAATCAGATATTTTATTTTGTAAGGCTTCTAACCTTCCAGTTGAGTTGTTCACGGGTTGAGAAACACATTTGAATTTGCATACAGTTTTTAAGTCTGTGTTGGCTTTCATTTATCAGAATGCCTTGGGTCTCCCCACACTTGCATAGTGTAGTGTGGCAGACAGGCAGAAGGGGTGGGCAGCATATCTCAGCCCTTCCATGGTTCTCTTACTTCTAGAATCTTCCCATTAAGACTGCGGCTGCGCCGCCGCTTACCCAGAACCTAGTCTGCAAACTTGGGCTAAGAAAGCTGTGTGATTTCCGCCATCGGTTCAGTACCAAATCTGCTAGTTTTAGCCAACAATCTATGATTTTACGAACGACCTTTGTCCTGACTCAGTGAGCTGAGCAATCTCTAGCAATTCTTCAAAGTTGCTTGTGATTCCATCCAACCCCAATCAGAGAAAGCTTTGACCACGGTGGTCAAGAAAGCCATCTGCTCACTGATGTCCTTGCCCAAAATTATAACTGTTTTGGTTTTTCTGTTTTTTTTTTTTTTTTTTTTTTTAAAGATTAATGCTTTCTAATTTGTGGACATTGTTTCACTGGTGTCTGATTCTGTGGATATGGTAAATGTTCAGAGAATAAATATAGTTGTTTTGATAATTTTGTCTAAGATTATACTTGTTTTCTTCAAAGGGGAATCAACTGAACCCTCACAACACTCTGACCAGAAGTGGACTCTCATTTAGGGATTCCTTTCACAAAATACAATATTAAAGATGTTAACTCCAGTGTTTTAGAAAGCCTAAGTGAACTTTAGACAATATGCATAATATTTAAAAATTCCATCTGTTCCCCAAGAATGGAATGGCTGTGTCACATGGTATATATTTAATTTTTTATAGAAATTAATTAAAATTTTCTGTAAGACCCTTAACCATGTTCCATTCCCACCAGCAATGGATGAGTCCTCTCACTGATCCACATGGTCACCACCAGTGGGGATTTTCTATCTTTTAAATTTCAGCCACTGTAATTGTATGTAGTAGCATCCTGATGTAGCTTTAATTTGCATTTACCTAGTATCTGAGACAGATACTAATTCAAAGTATCTGAGACAGGTCTCAGTCAATGCAGAAGTTCATTTTGCCAAGGATGAGTATGTGAGTGTGGGAGACACATCCCAATTTTAGAGAAAGGTACCTTTCTCTAAAGATGATTTTGAAGGCTTCAACATTTAAAGAAGAAAGGAGAGATATTGGGGAAAGAGGAAGACATTTTAAAAGGTGTGGGTAGGTAAGAGGCAAAGAGTTTCATTCCTTTGAGTCTTTGATCAGCCATTCACATGTGAGAGGTGGTAGAGGAATAGTCAATTATGTATTCATCTAGCTCACTGAATCTGCATTTTTACATAAAATGAAATAAACGTAGGTCAGGGGAAGCAATCAAATATGCCTTGTCTCAAGTGAGCAGAAATATGACTTTGAGTCTCATCCTTTGTGTCATACCTCTGAAGATAAGGTGTCAATTTTTCTTGCCAGGGTGAAATTCAACAGGACTGTTTTAGGGTAAGAATCTTGGGGCCCACAAGGGATTTCTTAGTGGGAAAATTGTGGGGGAGGTATGTAGCTTTTTTATTTTTGTAGCTGTCTTATTTAGGAATAAAATGGGAAGCAGATTTTCATGATGCAGTTGCTAGTTTGACTTTTCCCTTTGGCTCAGTGAGTTCGGGGTCCCAAGATTCATTTTCCTTTCACATTCTTAATGATATTGAGCATAATCCCACTTTCTGTTCTTTCTGTGTCTAAAATCTTTTTTCTGTTCCTTTCTTTTCTAAAATCAATTACAGATTTTGAGGGATATTCTAAATTATTGTTTCTTTCTGTTTTAAAATCTATTACAGATTTTGGGGGATATTCTAAATTATTATAATACAATTATTCCTCGCATATTTGGGGTCTAAGTTCTGTTTCTGTGTGGATAGTTTCTAATGTTCTAAAATTTCACTGATTTTTTCTTTTGCATTTTATAAACTGCTATGAATCCTAGTAAGTGAAATAACTCAGATATTTCATTGTTTCATCTCTAGAAATTCTATTACAGTATTGTATCTTCTATTTCTCTCTTCAGCATGTTTATATTTCCTATGAAAGCCTTGAACATATTTATAATCACTGCCTTAAAGTCTTTCTAGTATCAAGATCCTGAATTTCAATAATTTTGGATAAATACCCAGAAGTGGAATAACCGAATCACATGGCACTTCTGTTTGTAGTGTTGGGAGTACTGTTCCAACTGTTTCCCATAGCAGTTTGTTTGCTTTGCATTCCCACCAACAGTGTGCAGGTGTCCCTCCAATGTCTTCTCATCTTTACCAAAACCTGCTCTCTTTCATAAGTGCATGTGTGTTGTTGTTGTTTTTGTTGTTGTTGTTGATAGCCATCCTGACAGGTATGGGTGGTATCTCACTGTGGTTTTTCTTTGCATTTTCCTGATTAGCAGTGACACTGAATATTTAAAAAAATATACCTGTTTGCCAATTGCATGTCTTTGGAGAAATGTCTATTCAAGTTCCATTTTCTCTATAGGGTTATTAGTTTTCCAGCACTATTTACAGTAACCAAGATGAAGAAACTACTTAAATGTCTATTGAAAGATGAATGAATAAACAAACTATGGTAGAAACGATATGGATAGGAGACAAGGAAATCTTGGGTAGAAGAGGGCAGTTCCCCAGCAAAGGCTCTACCCCCAAGCCTAGAAATCCATGGCCTTACATGGGAATAGGCATTCCTGTTTTCACACCCAAATGTTGCCTTGTGGCCAACCACATCACCCTATCCTGTACCCATATAAACCACAAACCCCACACTCCACAAGCATATAAGCAGACAAACAGAACAGAGAGGAGCAGAAGAGTGGCCGAGAAGGAGTGTATGAATGTCGAGAGGAGATCTGCTGAAAATGGTCAAAGAGAATATTGGCCGTGGGACAACCAAATTCCAGGGCAAGAACATCTTCCTACTTCATCCCCTTTCCAGCTCCTCACTCACCCTGTTGAGAGCCATCTCCATCGCCCAACAAAATCCCCACATTCACCATCCTTCAAGTCCGTGTGTGACCTGATTCTTCCTGGATGCCAGAAAAGAACCTGGGTATTAAGAGGGCACTGAGCTGAAACACTTAAGCTGTCTGCAGACAGCAGAGCTGAAAAGAACATTGTAGCATGCCCACTGGGGCTTCAGGAGTTGCAGGCACCCACCCCTAGATGCTACCATGGGGACGAAGCTTAAAAGAGCACTGTAGCATGCACACTGGGGCTTTGGGAGTCACAGGCACCCACTCCTAGATGCTACCATGGGGACAGAGCTCAAAAGAGCACTGTAGCATGCACACTGGGGCTTTGGGAGTTGCAGGCACCCACCCCTAGATGCTACCGTGGGGACAGAGCTCAAAAGCGCTCACCAAAGCTCCTGCACCTGCCTGTCCTCATGCTCCCCCTCCCATAGGGGGTTTAAGCGTCACTGGCCGGACAGATGAGCCACAACCTTGTCGCATGCCCTGCAAGGGTGGTCAGATAATGTTCCCATTTCATATATACAATAAAATACTATTCAGCCTGAAAAACAGAAGGAAATTTATGATCTGTAACAACATGCTTAAATATTGGGGATATTATTCTAAGTGAACTAAAGCGGTCTCAGAAAGACAAATACTGCATGATTCCATTTATAGGAGAGAACTACAATACTCAAATTCATAGAATCAATGAGTGGTTCGCAGAGACTAGGGGGCAGAGATTACAGGGGAGAGGAAGATGGGGAGTTGCCAATTAAGAGGCATAAAGTTTTATCCAAGTAAGATAAATAAGCTCTTAAGATTTTCTGTATGGCATTGTACGAATAATCAACAACAATGGATAGCACTTAAACACTGAAGAGGATAGAGCTCATGTTAACTGTTGTTACCACAGCTAAAGAAAAAGAATTAAAGTCCTTAAAGTCTTTTTTAAAAAAGAATCAAACTAAAGGAAAGGCAGTTTTTTGGGTTTTTTCATGACTCAGCTTCCAACTTAACTTTTACCTTCTGGCATAGTGAATTTGGAGTCCTGAGATTTTATTTTCCTTTTACATTTATCAATAATAAAATAATGATTTAAATAAAATGCAGCTCGACATCAGAGTTTTTCTGTGGCACAGTCAACACAGCGCATGCCTTCATCACAGATGTCATGACATGATAGGTTAAGAAAACTTAGCAGATCTTCCAGACTGAAGAATAATTGAGTTTCTGTTGGTACGAGTTGGAAAAATAAATACATTTCAACATATATTACACTTGTTTCTAACACAGCTGCAGTCATCTTAACACAGATTTCTTTGTTTTAGCAAAACTGCAACAATAAAAGTGGGAACAATATCTTCCAGTGAGAAACTCTCTGTATCCTGCTTGCCAGATATAAATCACATGCCAGCATTCTTTTGGGGAATACAGTCATTGCCACGTTTCCCTGAGGCCACAGGTTGCTGGTGAGCAACTGTCTGCTCCGGGCTTCTTTCATGAGAAAACCTGGCATTTAGTAGGTTAATTTGCATGTTAATGATTTCTCTGTATGTTAATTAATCTCTTGGGGCAGTATCTTTTAAGATATGGAAACACATCTTTTATCTGTGCTTAAAAGAGGAATGAGAGAGGGATAAACAGAAAATGAAACAGGGAAGAATACAGAAGTAGAACAAGAAAAGTATTTCAAAATAAATGATGTCTTATGATTTATAAATATTTTGCTGTTAGTTTTGTCCTTACAATAACTCTAATAAGTTAAAAGGGGGAAAAGAAAAGAGAAAGTGTGAGTAGTCAATGCGGACAGATGGAATAACATTCTAAAATTTGGTGAATATGCTTTTTCCCCTGACTTTGCGGAGTAGACCGAATTCGTTCATTATATATTCAATTAAAATTAAAAACAAACTAAGAATCTTTTATGTTAAGACATGCAGGATTAATTCTTGGACTGTCTTGCTTTTCATCAGCTCTGCCCTTTGCTAGGCCTGGCCCCTGGTCCTATCAGTTGCCATCCAGAGGGTTTCTCTATATGCTAGAAGGTGCCACATATTTGCATTGCTTGGTTTCTCAGTGATATGGACAGGAGGAAGCGAAATACTCAGTAGAAGACAGGTGGGTCCCTGACAAGGGTACCACCCTCAAGCCCAGACCCACAGCTCTAAATGAGAACACGCATTCCTGTTTTCCTACCCAAGTGTCGCCTTTTCCAAAACCATCCCGGCCTACCTCACTCCCAACCCTGTACCCATAAAAACCCCAAATTTCACTGGGAAAAGAGCAGAGGGGGGCAACAGAAAAGGAGAGAAGAGAAGATGCATCTGAATGTTGAGAGAAGAGGCAGCTGGATGTCAGAAACTATGGTCAGAGTGGAGTTCAGCCAGAGACGGTCGAGAGAATTTCTCATCTGGGGAAGGTCAGAGAGGAGTTCAGCTGGGGACAGTCACAGAGGAGTTTGGCTGGGGATGGTCAGAGAGGAATTTGGCTGGGGATGGTAAGAGAGGAGTTTGGCGGGGGATGGCCAAACTTCAGGGGAAGATTATCTTTCCACTCCATCCCCTTTCCAGCTCCCCATCCTGCTGAGAGCCACTTCCGTCACTCAATAAAACCCTCCACATATACCACCCTCAGTCTGTTTGTGTGACCTGATTCTTCCTGGATGTCAGACAAGAATTTGGGATGCACTGGGTGTGGGAACCCAAAAACGTTGTCACACTGACTCTTCACTGAGCTGTTTAACACTTAAGCCATCCACAGATGACAAAGTTAAAAAAGTATTGTTTGTAACACACCGTCTGGGGCTCCATAGGTCCCGGGCAACTCTTAGATGCTGCCACAAGCTGATACAGGTTTCATTCCTGCTGGTGTGCAAAGGCACTCACCCTGGTTTCTGCACCCGCTCACCTGCGTGCTCCCCCTCCTGCAAAGGGTTTCAGCATGGTGGCCAAACAAAGGAGCCACCCCATAACAAGTCCCATGAAGGGGTCAAGAGAAGTCTCCTGTCTCAGTGTTACTACAGGGAGTCAATTGCTTTACCCCCTCCCCACAACCTGGACTCTCATCAGGTCAGAGCAGAGCTTCTGAGAAAACCACGGATCTGCTAACAATGACACAAAACAGAGCTTCAGGAGTCCTGGTGAATCTCATTGGGTGTTTAATGAAGCTTCCCTTTCAATTTCTTATTTGCAGATGCCTGCCTGCTGTCCAGGGAAAAATAGTTTGAGGAAATAGTCAAATAGAAAGATTCTATGTTTCACTTAGGATTTATTTCTGAAGTAGTAAATTTTGTAGATACAATATTGTTCTTCCTTGTCTTATTCCCTGTTCACTTAGGATCATTTGATATCCTATACGTCAACATTTTGTAATCATAGCCAATAATTCATTGATAAAATATTAATATTTAAAATAAAATCCTAATTCAAATTTCCCAAATGACTATAAGAATCACTGTTCATTATCAGTGTCTCCCCCAGAGCATTTGGTTGACAGGTCTCTTCCGTCAGTGCTGTCTGAACCAGTATCCCTTTTCTCCCTCTTCTGTCTTTCACAACATAGGCTTATTTTTATTTTTTTAAAGACCAGGTCATCTTTTGGTCTGTGTCACAACTGGATTTTTCGAAATCTCTAATTGTTTCTTCATGATTGGAGACAGGCTACATATTCAGCTACAAATTCATGTGTATTTACTGTGCCCATTATGCTACACACTGGACACAGGCTACACACTTACATGTATTTGCTACATTGCTGTTGTTTCTGTTGTTTGTCTGCATCCTATGTGGTTTATTTTCTTTGCTTGCTCATTTGGATTTATGGTTCTGTCTTGGGCGGTAGGAGGTTTCCAGATATGATCTCCATGCAATTCTCCTGGTACGAGGATCTCTCCCCTCACCAGTAGTTAAAGTTCATGTTTCTTCCCCTGAAAACATGGCTAAGCCTTTAACAGCTTTGACCAGATAAAATGCATGTTGTTTTAAGCCACAATGATTTGGGATGGTTTCTTACACAGCAATATATATCCCCCAAATTTAAGACTATTTATATTTTTTTGTCTTTATGTACATTTTTATATGTTTATGATATCCTTAGTTTTTTTCTTCCTTAGTTTTCTATTAATCTATTTACTAACTTCATTTTTCTCCAAATTATTCCTAAAATAAATATCAAATACTCTATTTCTTCTTTTTCTTTCTAACATTTTTTTGCTATGATCCCTCCCTCCCTCCCTCCCTTCCTTCCTTTTGCTTGTTTATTTATTCATTTAGTTTTTAGAAAGGGCATCTTGCTCTGTTGCCCAAGCTAGACTGCAGTGGTGCACTCATAACCCACTACAGCCTCAAACCCTTGGCCTCTGGAAATCCTCCTGCCTCAGCCTCCTGAGTAGCTGGGATGCCACTACCCTTGGCTCAGTTGTGTAATTTCTAAACTGGAATGCCATTTAAGATGCTCATACTGTTTTTCTCCCCTTGTCGTGTTACAGGAAAGTGCAGGAATCATCAGTTCTTATTCTTGGAGAAAGAATTCTGCCAAGTGACTGGTTTGTCAAAAAAATTTTTTAAAAAATTAAAGGAAAATAGACAGCAGAGAATTTACTGAGAGAGACAGTGCATGCTGAAAAGAAGAGGCAGAACTGGCTGCTGAGGGGAGTGAGCCCACAGCAGCCTGAGTTCTGTGTTGGGATTTTATGATGAAAAATGGTCTCTTGAAGTTCTCGCCTCTGCCTTCAGTCCCCTCCTTTTTTCTTTGACTAGTGTTTCCACTCCTGCCTTAAGTACCCCCCTTCTCCCTACCGAGTTTCCTCCCCAGGTTTGTGGGACCCTCCCTTACTATTAGTTGCTGCACGTGCACAGGCCCAGTGTTGTATACAAACGGTGCCTGTGTTACTGCCTAGGAATTTCTTCCTTGCCCTCTTCCCCTTATCAACTGACACCCAGCTGCATTCCAACAGGTTAACTGCAGAGTGAGCAATTGCTGGGCATCTTAAGGGGCGTTCCTTCCTGCCTAGGTATTTCCCCCACTCTCTGCATATACCCAGCATGCAGGTTTCGGGTGGTCCCCGGGGTGAGAGATTTTCCAGACCTCTTTTTCTCAGGGATCCCCATCTCCTGCTTATGTCTGGCTGTCTGCCTACTCTAACAGCTGTACTTTTCTGTAGTTTTATATTTTTCCTGTAAATATATTTAATGTCTTTGAATAGTCTTTTTCTGAAATGGCTTTTACCTAGCCATCCAATTCCTGTGTGCAGTAGCACAAGTTGGAATATTTAGCTTTTCTTTCTAACAAATATTGATAGACAGGGCTGACTGCACTGGTTTAGTAATGCATGATAAGTTCAAATATTTTCTGGCAAATACGTGCTGATAAGTCAATACAATTAATAAGTCATAAATGTTGAACACTTCGCATTTTCACAAACTTTATATATTTGTCTAAGAATTTCTCTGCTCTATGTATATTTTCAACACCATCATTTGGGACACATCTTAGCAGAGTCCACTTCACATTATCCTGAATTTCTCAACCTCTTTACACATGTTTTCAACTGTAGTGGTATGTGCAGCTATTCAGTTACTTCAACCTTGGCACAGACTCCCGGAATACACTGAGCAATATTGGTAACATTCATGGAGTCATAAACGGCCAGGAAAGGTCCCTTTAAATCAGGTGTCTTATTTGACTCATCATAGTACTTCCAATGCTCTCAAGTTATCAAACCCATCAAAACAACTATTTACACTAAAGGACTAATAATAGTCTTAAAAGAGGCTATTTGAATATATTTCTTCAGCTGTCACAAATATGGTATAACTAATTCAATGCGGGAAAACTGCTTTTCTTGCTCGGTTAGCAAAAGAATCACTCAGAAAATTACCTTAAAGAAGCCTCAATTTACGGTTTCAAATATTGCTGAAGGAATTCTGCACTGCTGAGATGTAACGTTACATATGTTCTATTTTTTCTCTGGGTGCTGCTCTCCTCTGAGTTGGGAAGGGTGGGTTGAGTGCCTAATCTGGTAATGTTGGTATACATGATATTATTTTAGTACATGTACAGTGTTGTCACGCAATAAACACAATTTGAGGAATTTATTTTGATAAGAAAATAACCCATACTCCACTATACCCTCAAAGAAGGAGATTCAAAGATCACTGTGCTTCTTCTCTTCTTCTTTTGACTTAATGGTCCATTAGATTCCTCAGCATCTGGTGATGCATCTATCACTTTCCAGAGCTCTACACTGCACTTTTCGCTTTATCGCAGCTCTCTCTCTGGGGAATTTTGTATTTGTTCTTTCACAGCTGGGATGATCCCTGTCCCAAGTGCCTCTTTCTCTGCAGAGTCCGCTGTGTGTGAATATCACTTCTGACTCTGCTGGTTTCACACTATTTATGTTCCTTTGTAAATATAATTTGAGGCCTAGGTATTATGGGGTGATACTTCAGTACTGTTTGAGTCTTCATTTCTCTATTATCATTTCATATAAAATCTGTATTTTGCAAAGACAATGCTTCTTTGAATCGTTTTATAAACTGATATAAAGTGGTGATTTTTTTCATATTTCCTTTTCATTTTTCCCCTGCACCTATGGCATCTCCTTTATTTTTTCTTTTATTTTTTAGTTGAGATGTAATAATTGCACATAATGCATGGGATTCAGAGTAAGGTTGTCATAAATGCATACAATGTGTAAAAATCAAACCAGGATGATTAGTATATACATCGCACCAAATACTTATCATTTCCTTGGACTGGGAATACTCAAAATCGTCTCTTCTAGCTAATTGAAAACTCACAATTAGTTACTTTTAACTATGGTTATCCTACAGGACTATAGCACACTAGCACTTATTGTTTCGGTCTAGCTGTAATTTTGTATCCGTTAACAAACTACTCTCTAACCTCCCCTCAACCCTACCCCTTCTAGCTTCTAATGACCAAAATTTTACTTTCTATATCCATGAGCTCCACCTTTTTTTTGAAATCTCCAACATATGAGTGAAAAAGTAGTATTTATCTTTCTGTGTCTGGCTCATTCCATTTAACCCAGCATCCTCCAGGCTTATCATTGTTGCCATAAATGACAGAATTTCATTTCGTTTTATGGGTGAATAGTGTTCCATTGTGAATATATACTACATTTTCTTTCTCCATTCACATATTGGTGGGTGTTGAGGTTGACTGTATATCTTGGTTATTGTGAATACTGTTGTAATAAACATGGGGAAGAAGATATTATTTTTGATATGCTGATATATCTTTCTTTGGATAATTACCCAGCAGTGGTATTGCTGGATCACACGGTAGATGTAATTTCAGTTTTTTGAGCAACCTCCATACTGTTTTCACAATGGCTGTACTAATTTACATTCCCACCAACATTGTATAAGAGTTCCCTTTTCTCCACATCTCCACAAGCCTTTATCTCTGTGTGTGTCTGTGTGTGTGTGTTTGATAATAGCCATTCTGAGTGAGATTATATCTCATTGTGGTTTTAATTTTAATTTACCTGATTAGTGATATTCAGCATTTTTTCATGTTTGTTGGCCATTTCTATATCTTCTCTTGAGAGATATTTATACCAATTATTTGCCCATTTTTAACAGAATTACTGTTCTGCTGTGGAGTTGTTGGGTCCCTTACATATTCTGGATGTTAGCCCCACGGCAGTGAACAGTTTGCAGATATGTTCTCCCATTCTGCAGGTTTTCTCTTTATTCTGTTGATTGTTTCTTTTGCGGTGTAGAAGCTACTTAGCTTAATATAGTCCCTATTTCTATTTGTTTGTGTTGCCTGTGTTTTTGAAGTCTCACCCATAAAATATTTGTCCAGAAACAACGTCCTAACGTGTTTCCCCTGTTTACTTCTAGCAGTTTCATAGGTTCAGGGTTGAGTGGACTCAGGAGGATGCTGTCCGGCCCGGGATGTGGAGAGGCAGGGGCTGTGGGGCCCCGGGGCCAGATGCAGTGATGCGGACCCCCACCGCCAGATGGCACTGCGCTGGGGGTGGAGAGGAACAGAGACGGTTCCCTCTGGAACGAGGCTGGCATCTCCCTGCTCTGGGCTCGTAGACTGTGAGGGCCAAGAGGCACTCCTGCAGCCAACTTGTAGATGTCCCTGGTGGGAGCGTGGACTGCATGGGACTTCTCACTTACCTTTCCCCACAATGGGTAGTCGTTGTTGCCCCGAGTCAGTCCCGTCCCGTTGTTTTGCTTCCTACTCTCGGCCGCCACCTCGAGTCTCCACGCCTCAGCGCTCTCCTGGCGCCTCAGCGCTCTCCTGGCGCCTCAGCGCTCTCCTGGCGCCTCAGCGCTCTCCTGGCGCCTCAGCGCTCTCCTGGCGCCTCAGCGCTCTCCTGGCGCCTCAGCGCTCTCCTGGCGCCTCAGCGCTCTCCTGGCGCCTCAGCGCTCTCCTGGCGCCTCAGCGCTCTCCTGGCGCCTCAGCGCTCTCCTGGCGCCTCAGCGCTCTCCTGGCGCCTCAGCGCTCTCCTGGCGCCTCAGCGCTCTCCTGGCGCCTCAGCGCTCTCCTGGCGCCTCAGCGCTCTCCTGGCGCCTCAGCGCTCTCCTGGCGCCTCAGCGCTCTCCTGGCGCCTCAGCGCTCTCCTGGCGCCTCAGCGCTCTCCTGGCGCCTCAGCGCTCTCCTGGCGCCTCAGCGCTCTCCTGGCGCCTCAGCGCTCTCCTGGCGCCTCAGCGCTCTCCTGGCGCCTCCCTCCTCGCTGAACGCCAACAGTGCTCTTCCTCAGATGCTCGATTTGACTGGTGTGAGGTCAGTATGAACCCATTTATATGAAGGTTTACAACAGACAAAATTAAGCTGTGTATTTTAGAGATGAATATGTAGGCGGCAAAAGTGTCTTTATAACAAGGAAGTGTTTGTAGTATTCAGGGTTATGGTCACTTTTAGGGGCAAAGAAATATGAGATCGGAAAGACAATACAGCAGAAAATGTGAGGTATTCACATTATTTTCTTGTCAACAAAAGTGTTTATAATATTCATTATGCTCTATTTGCATTCTTCTGTATAGAAGTTATATTTCACAAGATTTAATTACATGCTTTCTCATCAAGTTAGCCTCTATTTTTTTCCCTATTTTTTAGCCTTCTGTTCAAGTTTTTAAAATTATTTCTAAATTTTGCATATAAAGACAGCATACTTTATCAGAATCACTGAAGCCTCAATTATCTGGAAAGAAAAAATATGTTCATGCCTCTGTCGGTAAACAAGAAAGAAACTGGAGGTAGATGGAATGCAAAAATAGGACATGCATCTGAGACTGAATTGCAAGCAGTCATTGGAGAACAGCTATCAAAGGCAGAATGCAAACTAATGAAAATTTGTGCTCCTTTTCTATAATTATTTTTTAGCTTCTTTTCTCATTGAGTACTAATGACATTATTTGTCTCCCTTTAATAGAGGTTTACTTTTGAACTCCAATTTTTAAATTATTTTTAATAAACAAAAAACTTTTATGACATCAATGATATTTAGTTCAACTTTCCAAAAGGCAATTAAGAATGTCAGAAGATACAATCAAATTAATGACAGCAATTTGTGTTTTCTCACCTTTACCTGAGAAGATCAAGTTGAAATATTTTATAGACCTCATAATTCTGCACAGTATTCTCTGTGTTCCACAAACCCTGACACTTAGAATACATTAATGTCTTTGAAACAGAATACACTAAGGTTGATAATTCATATTCGCATTATATTTGCATACTTCTATACTAAATTGTAGATGGATATGCTCAAGATTTAAGGAAGAAAGAAAAGACCAAAGGAAGAAAGAGGGAGGGAGGAAGGAAAACGGAGAAGAAAAGAAAACACAACTTAGCTAATTTAGAGTATTGTAAAGAAAACGTCCTCATGAAAATTATCATTTTTTGCATATATACCATGTGTGTAGACCCATAGCACATTCAGTGGTACCTTTACCTTGGAAAAAATGGTTGGTACTAGAATTTCTCACTGTGCATGTCCCATTGAAATCTGTACCTAGGGAGAAAAATTCCATTGATTTGTCTTTGCGGAAGCCTGTGTTGTCCTCCTATGCTGCAGGCATTCCACTCTCATGCTTTGACTTCACTGTTCATTTTTCTGAGACTTGTGGTATGACAGCTACTTCCCATTCTTCTGTTACTCTATGCAGAAAATATTCCTAGGGAGTTGTTCACACTTCTTTGGAATTGACCTCTCCAGTCTCCCCTCCATCCACTGAAATCAGGCTCTTCTCCTCTCCAGGCCACTAAAATGGCACTTACTGTTGTTACCACTGCCTCTAACATTCCAAATCTAAAGATCAACATTCAGACTCTGAGTGCTGTTTTATTAGTATAATTTGAAATCGTTGATCACTTTCTCCTGAAAACTCCATCGTTACTTGATTTCTGGGCTCCATTCTCTATTGACTCTCTTCCTTGTTTTCCCCTTCCTCCTCTGCTGTGCTGGGGCCTTCTCATCTTCCAAGCTTTTAATGCTGGAATGCCCTGGGGCTGCATTCCTGTGGCTTCCCTCTTCTCTAGTTAGTGTCACTTGCTGTGCAATCACATTTGCATGTCTCTAATTCCATTTGTACTTTCGACTCATGTAGCTCTCCCTGAATTCATATCTATGTGGGTGTCTAATAATCACCTGAAAGTTAACACATATAAAATAAGGTTCCTGGTTTCCCTCTAAATCTGCCCCTTCAAAGTCTTCACCAAATCAGTAAATGGCAACTTTACTCCCAGTTTCCTAGTCCAGAAACCTTGATTTTGTCTTTATCACATACCTGACATCCAATCCATCCTTAAATATATGAATGTGATCTTTAGAATCCATCCAAATGCCTAACCTCGAATCCCCGGGGCCATGGGGACTTCTTGGTCTAAGACTTCTTGGTCTAAGCCTAGTGTGTTAATTTCCTGGGGCTTCCATAACAAAGTACCACTATTTGGGTATCCAAAACAACAAGAATCTATTGCCTCACACTTCGGGGGCTCTGAGTCCAACATCAAGGTGTTAGCAAGGCCCCCTCCCTCAGAAGGCTGTAGGGGCTAATCCTTCCTGGCCTCTTCTTGGCTTCTGATGGTTTGGTGGCAATCTCTGACATTCCTCGGCTTGCAGCTTCACCACTCCAATCTTTGCCTTCATGAGTGTCTCTGACTATATATTGCCATTGATATAGGAGTTAAGAAGAAATCAATTAGGCAGATAGTGAGGATACAGGAGTCCTAGGTAAGGTTTTCCTTTTAATGAAAAGTAGCCCCCAAATCATTTTCTTTTCTAACAAAGAGCAGCTTGTAAAATCAAGCTACAGACATAGACAAGCAAGCTGGGAGCTTGTACAGGCAAATGCCAGCAGTTGTGCCAATAAGGAAAGGCTACCTGGGACTAGGCATGTTCAAAATGGTGGCTCCATCTTCCCATCTCTTTGCCAAACCATGTGTACAGTAGGAAGACAATATGGTGCCAGTCAGGCAAAGACCCCATGTGCATAATAAGATTAGGGTGGGGTGACCAGCCTTGCCCACGTGCTATGTAAACATCACACCTGGTGCAACCAATCTCTCACAAGAGAGAGAGAGCTTCTCTCCTTTCTCCGTCTTTTGCAGATTAAACCTCTGCTCCTAAACTCACTCCTAGTGTGTGTCTGTGTCCTTAATCTTCTTGGTGTGAGATGATGCCACTTCACCATCTTCTTTAAGGACAACAGCCAGGTTGTATTATGGGGCCACCCAATATAGACTTGAGGAACTCATGCAGTCTCTCTTCTTTTCTTCATCTGTTACATTGGGTATTACCATCGGTTTTACAAAGTTGATGTAAACATGTTATGCAATTCTGCCTACGAAGCACAAAATTATGGGCACCTGTGAAGTGATGAAGGTGATGAACCCAATGCACCCACCCACATCCCTCTCACACAGGTCCTATTGCCCTTGTAGGTGGCACTTGACCCTTGTTATGCTTTAATTAAAATTCCTTGGTGTGTTTAAACCTTTTAACTTCTGCAAAAAACCATGACCACATTCAGTTGTGGATTATTAGACTAAAAGTAGCTTATTGAATGGCTGTGAGAATTTAGTTGCCTCATAAAAGTAATATACTGCCTAGTTAAAACATTATCTAAACAGCATTCTAGACATAGAAGATATTGAACATAAACTGGGTTCTTGTCTTTCTTATGTAGTACACTGGCGATGAGAGGCATAGTTTGGGGAGTTGCATATTTCATTTTGCTGCTGATTCAGACCGTGATAATACAGTAATATGTGGATCCTCTTAGTTTCATCCTGACAATAATGATTTTCTTATCTTACCCAGCTGGATAAAACATATTCTGTGGGAAACTTGTCAATCACAAGGTTGTGTATATTAGAGAATGAGAGGTCCGACAGAGCATTTTTTTTTTAGTGTAAAAATTCAACATTGTTTTGGCTTGCTTCTTATCTGCTTCTCAGACTAAAGCGGAAGCTCCCTGACGCCAGGATCCTTGTCTGTTTTGTTGACATAAACAGTGCTTGGTACATAATATATAAGGAGTCAAGTTTGTTTAAAAATAATTGAATGAATGCCTAAAGGCTTTCACTTAAAAGCTAAATGGAACATTTCATCCTTGACAATGAGTACCCAAGAACAAAGCAAAGGAAGGAAAAAATATGGGAGTCTTTCTTTCCCAAGTAGTTTAAATGATCTTCAATCTATAACAGTTTTCCTTGAGTTGTTTACTGCTGTTAGGAGTTTCTAGGAGACGCATTTGAAAAAAGTTTTTCAATTATGACCTGAGAGAGGACCTCCTTTTATATCAGAAATTAAAATAGATGGGAGAGATGATGTATTAGCTTGGTGCAAAATTTATTGAGGTTTTCGCCGTTAAAAGTAATGCAGTAAGCTAATAAACCAATAGTAAAAATATGGTTGAATGGTTTCTTCAGGTTGGATGGTCTGAGAATCTCTCTCAGAAGTACCCGAGTGATGGAAGGAATGATCTACACAAGGAAAGCCAGTGTCTCCGGCTGAGGGAGGAGCTGATGTGAACACATGTGGTGTTATGTGCATGCGTATTATATAGACACTGTAGCAACAAGCTTGCTTGTCTGGGAGTGCAGTGAGTGAAAAGGGAGGATGTTTTAAGATGAGGTCATATTTTTAAGTTTATTTTTATTGCTCTGGTTTTCCTAATCCAGGCCAAGAATTTTGAGTTTATTTTAAGCCTTTAGCATATTTTAAACAAGGTTTGACACCATTTAAAAATGATTTTTGGGGTTGGGTGTGGTGGCTCATGCCTGTAATCCCAGCATTAAAGGAGGTAGAGGTGAGTGGATGACCTGAGCTCAGGAGTTCGATACAAGCCTGGCCAACATGGTGGAACCCCGTCTCTACCAAAAATACAAAATCTAGCGAGGCATGGTGGCTTGTCCCAGCTTGTTTGGTGGCTGGGGCACAAGAATTGTTTGGATCCAAGAGGCAGAGGTTGCAGTGAACTGAGATCGTGCCACTGCACTCCAACCTCGGCGACAGAGCAAGATCCTGTCTTAAAAAAAAAAAAAAAAAAAAAAAAAAGGAAAATTATTCTGACTGTTTGCTTGAATAGAAGATTTTCAAGAGAGACATAAAGAAGAAAAGAGATAATTTCGAACACTGCTATATTAATTTAAGATAGATTATGAGGATTTGGAGCAGTGTGGAGTTCAAAAAATTAGACATATCTGGAAATGTTTTGTAGATGGAATGGACAAGAATCAATTAATTGAATATGAGGAAATGGAAAGACGAATCAAAGATAACTCTTATTTTGGGCTTAGGCAATTAAATTCCTAATGGTGACATTACACAGATCTGGGGGAGAATGAAATGGTGTAGGATTCAGGATGAATGAAAATAAAGACTTTGTTTTGAGCTGCAAAGTTTGAGATTCTCATTAGATAAGGATAAGGAGAGGTCAACCTGGACTTCGGAGAGTCATTACAAATATGTGGCATTTAAAATTATTAAACTGGATAGATCAACTGCAGATAATGTGTGTGTCAGAGGGGAAAAGGACCCCAAACAGGTCCCTGGGAGAGCCACAGCATTTAACTATTGCGTGATCAGGCAGGACCTTTGACAGACAACGGAGAAAGATAAAAAGGAAGTCAGTGAAAGGAAGACACTCGCTAAGCAGAGTGGCGACTCCTGTGGAATATGCGTCCCTGATGTCAGCTGTAAAGGCAGACGTGACTGTTTGATTTGAAGACATAGAGGAGGTATCTGCAGACCCTGGCAGATTTATTCTCTTTGGAACTGGAACAGTGAGAAGTGAGGCCAGCTTTGAGTGGATTGAGGAGAGAATATGGCATAAGAAAAAGAGACCTTAAAAATAAGTTGTTTTTATTTTTTATTTTTGTATATAGAAAGGCGGTGTCACTCTGTAGCCCAGGCTGGTCTCAAATTTGTGGCCTCAAGCAAGCCTCCCACCTCAGCCTCCCAAAGTGCTGGGATTACAGGTTGTGAGTCACAGTGACTGGCCTAAAAGTAACTTTTAAAGTAAGTTTTGATGTGAAGGAGGACAAAAATGGAGCAGTCTCTGAAGAAGATAGGGTGTCGAGGGCGGGGCTGCAGAAGGTAGCATTGCATTTCAGCAGCGAGAGCCTTGCCAGGCTACTACCACAGAGAAATACGGAGAGGGGAGGCAAGGGAGGTTCTCTGCAAGAGAAAAACTTTCATGATGGACAGTGGAATCTCAGCGGAATAAGGGGAAACTTGAGGCTGGGAGACAGATCTTGAGAGGTTTGCAGAGAGATGAGAGAAGACTCAAACGAGTGCAGGAATTTCACTGATGGGATGTGGAGTGTGTAAGTAAGAAAGGAGGAGATTGCTGCAAGGGAGCAGAGTGCTTGGATGTGAGATGTCTGAGTCTGCGAAGAGAGAGGAGGTGGCTGTCAAGGGTGGGCTGTTGGAATGGCACTGAAGACGAGTGGAGGGATTCCCATTTGGGGGAGTTAGGCAGTCATAGTGTCCAATGGGTAAGACTAATGTGAGGTCTGATGCTCACAGACAAATGGAGGAAGTAGAGGCAGAATGGAAGGTGGTGAGGTGCTGCAGTTTTGGGCTGAGAAAGGCTAGGATATGCAGAAGAAAAAATTGAGAGCCTGACCTCTGAAGGAACTTGTATATTTGAAAGAACCAGATTCTTTAAGAAATACTTTTATGCAGCCAGATGTGGTGGCTTACACCTGTAATCCCGCACTTTAGGAGGCCGAGGTGGGAGGATCACCTGAGGTCAGGAGTTCAAGACCAACCTGGCCAACATGGCAAAACTTGGTGGTGCACATCTGTAGTCCCAGCTACTCAGGGGGCTGAGGCAGGAGAATCACTTGAACACAGAAGGTGGAGGTTGCAGTGAGCTGAGATCACACCACTGCACTTCAGCCTGCAGCCTGGGCAACAGAGTGAGACTCTGTCTCAAAAAAAAAAAAAATGAAAGAAAGAAAAGAAAAAGAAATACTTTTATCTATGTTACATGCATCCACACACGCATGCACACAGCATGGCTAAATGAATCCTTGACCTGTCATGCACCGGCCCCATGGGTGAATAGTTGTGCACATTCTGCAGACACATGCCTAATTTTCATTTCCGCCTTTACAGTCTAGGTATCTAGCAGCAGCTTTCTCTGTTTTTGTTAACTTTTATCTTAAGTTAAGGGGTACCTGCGCAGATTTGTTCTATAGGTAAACCCATGTCCTGGGTGTTTGTCGTAAAGATTATTTAATCACCCAGGTATTAAGCCTGGTTCCCATTAGCTACTCTTTTCTGACCTCTCCCTCCTCCCACCCTCCAATCTCCAGTAGGCCCCTGTGTCTGTTTTTCCCCTTCCTGTGTCCATGTGTCCCCCTCATTTAGCTCCCAGTTATTAGTGACAAGATGTGGTCGTTGGTTTTCTGTGCCTGCATTAGTTTGCTAAACTCATACTCATTTATCCGCACTCTCTTCCTCTGCACTGTCCCCCCCGCTGACCGATGCTGCCACTCAGCCTCCTGAGCAGGCCTTGGTGTCCCAGACAACACTGTCCTAGGTCTATGCCTTGTCAGGACCTGCAGTCCAGCTGTGGCCTCTGTTGCTGCTATTGCCATTGCTAATCGTCCCACTCTGTGCTCACTGCCTGTAACAGAAGATTTCCCAGGATGAGAGTTATCTTCCTGTTGGTTCACCAACCTCTTAGGTGCTGAATTATAGCTCTTCTCATGGTGTTTTATGCTTTGCTGTTTATCACCTCTTGTGACGCTGTTTCTAAACTGAAAAATCCTAGATGAATGCAGTATAAATTGCTCAGGAATATAGCATCCCCCACAATATTAAAAAAGTCAATGAAAACGCTTTTTGTTTCAATTTGTCCAGTATTTTCCGGTTTCTTATTTTCATGTTCCCGACACTTGAACCCCCTCTTCTTCAATGCCATGCACACAGTACCTGGGATAGGAGGTAGGGAGCAGCCCCTGCCTCTGAGAGTAACGTGTGGTTTGTGATAGGTGTGCTTTGATTTCACTGTGTGTCTTTGTCCTTCAGCACTGAGGTAGACATCAGTGTGTGTTTTTGCTTTTGAGAGTATGTTAAAGAATGTAGGACATAGCCCTTTCCACAGGATCCTCCATTTTTACTGCACTTTCTCCCCTTAAAATGACTGGCATGTTCTTAAGGCATTCAGTGAGTCCATCTTATCTGACACTCAATCCTTCCCAATAGTATCTCTTCCCAAAGGCCATTCAGCTTGAATACCTGCAGAGACACAGGACTGAGAACCTTTTGAAGCCAATGATACCATCTGCGAGATCACTGCTGTCCAATTCTTCCTAATATGAAACTGAAATCATCTCTCAGTTGCTCTCACTCTGTTGTTCTGGTTCCAGCTGATTGAGTGGTTCAGAGTGAATAGAATGCCTATCTAACAGACCAGTCCTTCGAGGATTTGATAACTGCTATCTTATCTTATGGAGTTAACTCTTCCTCAGTTACATCCTACAAATACAAATGCTTTGAAGACTCCACTTTGCTCTTCTCTCTGTGTGTTAATTTTGCTGTTGTTGGTCTCCGCAGCAGGATGGTCGTCATTGCAAACTGCAGACTCCTTGAAAGGGCCAACCGCTGCACACGAGGACTTGCAGTTTTCTCACTGTAATTTCTAGACAAAACTCAAGCCCAAGAAATTGAGGAAATACAGCTATTTAAAATAGTTTGTAAGCAATAGTTGTACTAATTCCCAGAAAAATTTAACATTCCTTTCAGACTCTAGAAAGCAAATATAAAATTAAAAAAAAATTATAACTAACATATTGAGAAAATTTTTAAGCTTCTGAACATTTTTGTGCTTTGAGGAATCTAGTTCTGATATAACTGAAATCATTTCCCAACCAGGCTGGGCTCCAGTGCTGACAGGGTTTTTGTTCTGCAGTGACTCTAGGGAATAGCCAATCCTTAAATGTGTTTCTAGGCATAGCCCTTGGGACAGAGGGGTCTTTAAATGGACAACACGTGTGGTGGAACATGGAAACTCTTTGATGACAGCTGTTCACTTCAGTGATTACACTTTTGTACATAATGCAAGATGATCAATTCATTAAAGATCTGTGTGTGTCAGACACACATTGTGAGAATAATAAAAAACATATTAGAAAGACATTTAAAGACATAAAGAGCAGATTTGTCCTATAACATAGGGATGACCCAGATGGATGACCAGGGCCTGGAACAAACCTAGACTTTATCCTTTAGAACATAATTATCTTGTCACAGGAGGGAGAATTTTGCTAGGAAATTGTATTAGGCTGTGCTTGCATTGCTATAAAGAAATACCCGAGACTGGGTAATTTATAAAGAAACAAAGTTTAATTGGTTCACGGTTCCGCAGGCTGTGTGGGAAGCATGGTATAAGCATCTGGTAGGCTTCTGGGGAGGCCTCAGGAAGCTTCCAGTCATGGCAGAAGGCGAATGGGGAACAGACAGTCATATGGCCAGAGCAGGAACAAGTGAGAGAGAGGGAGGTGCCACACTCTTTTAAATGGCCAGATCTCAAGAGCACTCACTCACTCTCCCGAGGACAGCACCAAGGAAATGGCACTAAACCATTCATGAGAAATCCACCTCCATGATCTGGTTACCTCCCACCAGGCCCCAACTCCAACACTGAGGACTACAATTCAACATGAGATTTTGGGGCACAAATATGCAAACTACGTCAATAATACTTAACTTTGACCCTTTTAGGGATAATTTTCATATTACTAAGTATATATCTGTATAGCACTCTGCAAACTTCAGACAATTGTGTTGGTTAAAGCAAAGACTAGAATATAGAATAGTTTTTATAAAGGAAATAAAGTTCTTCTGGAAATAAACAGTGGTAAAATTCTATAGTTAGTACTTTTACAAAACAATATAGCAACTATAAGGAAAGTTAGAGGGCCATTAGAAAAATGTTTATACTTAATTATTATTAAACCTGCAACAATTATTGAGTATAATGATTGCAGATCTCGTATTGGCCAGTTCTGTGTTATATACTTTGTGAACACATAGAAGGTTCATTCTACTGCCTATGAAATCTTGTTAACAAAATCACATGTGGATCTCTGGCAAGAGTACAGTATTATAATATATTGGCAATGATATGAATAGGCAATTCACTGCAAAAGAATGGAGCCTAATTAACTTATTAATGCATGCCCAAGCTTACTAAAATTTACAGAATTGATAACTTAATAATAAATGTATCGCTTCTGGACTATTAATATTTTTTAACTATAGAAATGGTGGTATCCTTGCTGGAAAGCTGTTGAGAAACAGGCACTCTTCTACAATCTTAATGGAAGAATGAATTGATACATTTTAGAAAGCATTTTGGTAATGTCTCATAAAACCTTAAAAGTATCTGCTGTGTAACCTGACATTTCTATTTCCAGGAATTTATCCTCTAGAAATATTTTCTTAAGTGTCTAAATAATATATATCAAAATGCAGCACTGTTTAAATTAGTGACATGTTAGAAATAATTCAAATATTCATCAGGAAAATTTTAATAAAATGTAATAAATTATAAGCATATTCTTACTAAAAAACTACCATATTCTGCTTAAAAAGAATTATGGACAGCTATATTTCCTAACATGAAATCATGTGCAAGTAAAATAGCTAAAAGAAAATAACATTTTGCCCCACAGTGTATGAGATATGATCCACTTTTTATCAAAAAATATAGTATATACCTGTAAGTATACAAGAAAAAAATTAAATATATATTTAAAATGTTAGATAATAATTCTTTCTAGGGTGCTACAGCAATCTGGAAGATTTTGACTTTTACATAACCCATCTTTAAATTTGATAATGCTTGAATTTGGATAGTTTCATATGCTCCAATCAGGAAAAGTAGAATATTATAAAACAACAGACATTAGTAGAAAAGTAAATTCTTGTATCTTTTATTTCTATTCAAGGCAGTTATGGGACAATTTTCAAAATGTCTCTGATGGGCTTGGTTATTTCCTTCCTTCTAATCTCACCTCTGTCTTCTCTCATGGATGGATCTTGGCTTGTACTCAGATGCTGAGCATCACCCTTTGTGAATGAGATCTGCCCTGCACAGTCTCTCGCCCTCACTTCCATGGGCGCCATGTTTGCATTAATATGTGGTGATGACAGAAGGACCTTACATGGCGACACTCATTGGCATTAAAGACATTAGCATTCCACATGATTAACAGAAACACAACTTACTCTGACTCCTTCAGAGTAAACACCATGGAGGCAGCTGGAATGGATAAGGGCTGCCTGCCGGCCACAGGGACACAGATGAGGGGCTGTGGGGCCACCAGAGGTCCCTCTGTGCTGGGAGAGTCTTTTTCTGTGAGCTCCTTCCCAACCCAAGTGTAAAGGGACAGGGCTAACCTCCAATGCCAGTAAAGTAGAAATACAAATGAAACCATCAAATAGAATGCTGAGTACATGAACACATTACTACATCTCAGGAACAGAAATAGAATCTTTATGAAAAAGTTGTGTAGTCCCCAGAGGAATAGAGAACAATATAATGGCAAAAGCAATTAGATTTTATTTTGATGCAAAGAACCAAGATAAACATATGAGATAATCAAATTGAACACACTTTACATGGTACCTTCAAAAGTACATATACATGTGTATGTACTTGTATATACATGCATATATACATAATTATGTTCATATATACACACAAATATTTTTATATGTATATGTGAATTTAATGTGAAAAGAATAATTAAGCTTAGTTGGTAAATTTTTAAAGGAGCAGATTTGGGGAAAATGCTACATTTTGATAATTCATCATGTTCCTGCATAACTGAATCAGAAATAGATGTTAGTAGTTTTAATTGCCATTACAATAACTTCATATACCTGTATTAGCCTCCTAACCTGTGATTCAAATTCATTGTGAAACAGGGATTAGTATAGTTTTTCTCTTCTGCAGGTCCACCGTGAGAATCAAAGATGATAATATATATTCAAGGGATTAGAAAAGTTGTGTGCAATTATAGATGATCGCTGAAATCATCCATGACCTTATGTTAAGTTACTGTTCTGAAATTGACCCATTTTTTGCCACCATTATTTTTAATGACAGTACTTGACACTATCAGTACCATACGATTTTGCAAGGAAGATCCCTGCTCCTCCCACAGTCTGCAGTGATGAATTATGTGACTTGATGCAAGGCCTGTTTCAATGATTGTCTCACCATTCCTCAATCCGTGTAATAAAATAATGTGTTTCCCTGGAGTTGTCAAAGGTGATGCGATTTCACTGATGTTGCTAAGCTAGGAAGCAGGATTTGATGACGCCATTGGCCTTTTTTCCCACTGTGTTAAGAAAACCATGATAAATTTTCGCTTATCAGGTGCCAGCAAGTCTGGTAGATCCACAGGGGCCTCTGAGTCTGGGGTCTCTGGAGCCTAACCTGCTCTTTTTCTCTTTGGTTAGTAAATCTAAGATTTCCTCCACTCTGATTCTATGTGTATTGCTTTCCCAGAGCTGCTATAATAAAATAACAAAAACTAGGTGAGTTGAAAACAACAAATGTTTATTCTCTCACAGTCCTGGAGGCTAGAAGCCCCTATTCAAAGTGTGGGCAGGTGCATCAGCCTGCTCTCACATTGCTGTAAAGAACTACATGAGACTGAGTAACTTATATAGAAAAGAGGTTTAAATTGGCTCATGGTTTCACAGGCCGTATAGGAGGCATGGCTGGGGAGGCCTCAGGAAACTTACAATCATGGTAGAAGGTGAAGAGGGAGCAGGCACATCTTCCAGGGCTGGACCAGGAGGTAGAGAGCAAGTGGGGAGGTGCCACACACTTTTAAACAACCAGATCTCATGATAACTCACTATCATGAGAACAGCAAGGGGGAAATCCACCCCCACGATCCAGATACCTCCCGCCAGGCCCCTCCTCCAACACTGGGGATTACAATTTGACATGAGATTTGGGTGGGGACACAGATCCAAACCATGTCAACAGGTGTGGTTCCTGTGTGAGGGCTTTGGGAGAGAAGCTGCCCCAGCCTCTCTCCAATTGTCTGGTTCTTGCCTGCATTTCCTGGCATTCATTTGTTTGTAGATGCATCACTCCAGGCTCTGCCATCATCACCAGGTGCACTCTCCGGCTGTCTCTGTATCTCTTCTCATAAGGATACCAGTGATTGGAGTTAAGGCCCAGCCTGCTCCAGAATGACCTCATCTTAACTTGATTACATCTGCAAAAACCCAATTTCTAAATAAAGTCACATACACAGGTACCAGAAATTAGGACTTCAGCATATCTTTTTGAGGGACACAGTTCAATCCAAAACAGGATGTCTGATTTTCCTTTTCCCTTAATTAATTCTGTCAATTTTCAAGGGTAAAACACTTATCCAATTTTCCCTTTCCGAACTCTTTTATAACAGGTGCATGGAAATCCTGGGGCAAGGAGGGCAGTACTAATTTTAAATCTTAAATAAATTTTATTTATCTGTATATAAGTCACTGGGAAAATTTATATTAAGAATTAATTTTCACATTTTCCCTTAGAAGAAACAAATGGCTATTTTGACCATTATATATAAACTTTACATTTTTATATTGATAATAGGAAATCAGACTGGCATTTCTTTATAAATTTAGTAGTTTACCAATGTTAAAAATACACACATGATATGTATGTATATATCTGCAATCTGGCCAAGACTACTGAAGTGCGTATTATTAAAAATATGTAGGAAACAAACTGCATATTTTTTTTTAACACTGAGATATTTATTTCAGTTAAAATTGCATGGATTGTCTCTTCAAAAACCTCTTCAGTGTAACTCTATGTTACTCATTTGCAATGCAGTCAGCAAAGACATACAGTATATTACATACTGCTTTTCACCATTTCTTAAGGAAATCATGTTCTCTTAAAAGGTTGGTTCTAAGAATTCCAAGACGGAAACATAATGGAATGGTAGAAGACTGTAAATAAATGACAAAAATTTGAATCTGTGATCTATAAAATATTATCAAGGAGATTATAGATCTCTAAGAGGTTACGTGAGTTGCTGGAAGTAAAAAGGAAACGTGTTATTTCTCATTTGGACTTTGTCTAAAATATTATGTTTAAATGAAACTTCTGCTTTAGTGCTATATTCACTGTTTATTCTCTTGAACTTTCCTGAGTAATTATGATAAATAGGCCTAAAGAAAGTGCGTGTTCTTGTTTGAATTCACAGTGATATATGTTGGTGTCTTAATCTCTTTACTTTCAGTCAGAATTTTAAAAAACTGATATTTTGATTGTTTTTATAAAACTGTATTTCAAATTGTTTGATACATTTATGCTACTGTCTCCTCTACGTAAATAATAAACAAAAAGTTGCCCTTAATCTTGCTCAATCTTGCTCTAGTAACCAAAATAACTAAAATTCTAATTACTGGTGGCAACAACAAATATATCAACAATTATTATACAACAACAGTTTACTTATTTGTGTGTCAAGTTGTGTGTGATAAGTGCTTAGTCGAAACTATCTCATTTTATCTTTTTTATAATCCTTTGAAAAACACATTATCAATTCCGCAAATAAAAAAAGCCAAAGCTTAAAATGTTAGTGACAGCACAACTGAGCTGGTTTCTTCTTAGTTTAAAACACGTGCATCTCATCATTGTCAATCAACTTCTAAAAATATCACAGCCACAACTATAAAATATTGCTGAAAGAAATTAAAGAAGACACACAATTAATGGAAAAAAAATCTCATTTTCATGAATTTAAAGACTATTGTTAAGTTGCCAATACTACCAAGAAAGATCAAATTTAGTGCAATCTCTGTACAAATCCCAACAGCATTTTTTTGCAGAAATAGAAATGAATTATCCTAAAATTTGTGTGAAGTCTTAAAGGATCCTGAATACCCAACATTTTTTTTTTTTTTGTAAAGACGGGGTCTTCCTTTATTCCCCTGGCTGGTCTAGAACTCCTGGGCTCAAGTGATCTCCCCACCTTGGCCTCCCACAGAGTGAGCCACTGTGCTCAGCTCAAAATAATTTTGAAAAAGAAGGACATAGTTGAAGGACTCACTTCCTTCTTTCAAAATTTACTACAGAGCTATACTAATCAAACACTGTGGTTACTGACAAAAAGATAGACATATAGGCCAAAGGAAGAGAAGAAAGAGCTCAGAAATAGACCCTTACGTATATGGTCAAATGATGCTTGATAAGGGTGCCAAGACTAATCGAGAGAATATTGTCATATTCAAATAAGAGCATGATAAAAATCAAAGACAAAAATGTATGATTTTTTAAAGTCAACAGTAATAACATTCAGAGTTATTGTTTATTTTTCTGTACTATGAAAAATGCATTTTTAACCTTAAGAAAGGTTTTATTTTAGAAGAGTTTCCTTTGAAATATGTCAGCTTAACAACTTTATGAGCCTAACAGTCTTATTTGTGTTGTATGCAACTGATCACTAGCATAAAATATTACACACAATTTAGGGTTTTGTGGCGACCAGACTGGCATGAAGCTGTTGAAACATTCATTTCAGCGAGCAAAGACTGGAAGCTAGAGACTGTAGTACGCCCAAACTGCTACGGGGAAAAATATTTGCATAAGTTTCAGTTCTAACTTATAATGCTCCCAAGAGAATTCTTAATGCCTTCATTAGAATGGAAGGAACCTGAAACTCACCTGAAAAAAAAAAAAACACTTCAGGCAAAAACTGCAGAAGAATCCCCTAATATGTTATTAATTCCGCTGCAGGGCTTAAGAAGTCTGATGACAATGCTAAATCCCTTAAAAAATTGTCTTCACCGGGGGATGCCAGCCTAAAAACCAAACACCGTCTTTCTCTCACTGCATTAATGAATCCCACGTCGGAGTTGCCACCCCTGGCAGAATATTCCAGCCCCTGTTCTCCTCTGGCTTTGTCTTCCGTAATCTTTCTCTGCATTGTTTTTCCATTGCTGCTCACAGTAAAGATTGATGTTGCTTCTCGAATTGAGGAAAAAGTACACATATCTATCTTCTGGTCGTAGATTGATTTGCTACAAATCCTTTCTCCACAAGTCATGGGAGACTGTGGAGTCCAGGTGTAAATTTCCTCCCGTTATTTGAACGTTGAAAATAACAGTACAAAGTTCTACATAAAATATTGTAGAATACCATAAAGGCTCAGATTTTTACTTTTTTTATATATAAAAAGAGAATGTAGGATGCTTTCAGCAAAAGGTATTTTTTAAAGCTATTTTTGGAAAAGGATATAATCCAAGGTGTGGAATGTGTTAAATGCGCTCTGTTAAGAGCGCACCACAAATTAGAGAACAAGAATTAGTGTTCCTCTCTGGGACCCTCCTGTGCTCACCAAGAAACAATGCATATTCATCACTGCACGCATATACAAGATGAATTAGGCAAAGCCCAAGGTGCGCGGGAAGCAGCAGAGAGGTTCTGCAATTCCTACATGACTGTGAGTTATCTTTTCTTCTCATTTTGAAGTATTATATATTTGAAAGAAAAATTTCCAAAAACTAAATCTGTTGCTATTTTATGATTTAATTAGAAGCAGGAGTCAGTAGGAACAGGAGTGTAAAACCAATTTCTATAAAAGCAGATCATTAAAGGAATTTGCTAGATTTTTCTCAACACACTACACACACACACACACACACACACACACTTCACAACATATGCTTTAGTAGTAGATTGGTGCAAAAATTATTACGGTTTTTGCAATTACAATGGCAAAATACACAATTACATATACGTCAATCTAATACATTAGTGCATGGTACCAGTACAAATAGCACATTTAATCCAGTAATATTTATTTAGGTACTACTGTTCCATTTTTTAAATCTGGTAAATAAGAAACCAGATGCACAAATTGTGTGCTACTGAGTTTGAAGAAGACAGGAAAGATATCCTTACAGGCGTTTAGAGGATAGAGGAGTGAGGAATTTCTTCTGACCAGGGAACTATGTGAATCAATGACAGTTTCAAGAAGGAGGTAATGTTTGAATTTGACCTCAAAAGCAAACCCTGTAATGCAGTAGATTTGGATGCTAATATGTGTGAGGGAGAAAAAATCTTATCTTTCCCTTTCCCACCGCAAGGTTCATACTGACATCCCACACCAAAAGACAGATCAATGGGAGAAAAGCCCAACACATTTATTTAATCAAAATTTTATATGACATGGGAGCCTTTAGAAATGAAACCCCAAAGACCCAGGGAAAATTGTCCATGTTTATGCTTTGGTTCAATGAAGAATGGACAACCGTGCGGGAGCAGGTTTGGACCAACTGGGGTGACTTTAGCAGGGCATGTGTGTTCAGAGTGCCCCTGGCTTCTGGGTATACGGCAGGACCCATCTAGAATGAGGGTATTTCAGGCAAGGTTGGTCAGAAAATTCCTTTATGGCCTGCTTTTGGGGAGAAAGGCAAAGGAAGGTCAGAGTGACCTTGCTCCTGCATTTTCTTAATCTCCAACATGCCGTATATTTGGGTACCACATTCTGAGCCCAGGCAAAGTAGCGCTCAGATAGTTCTCACACTGGGCTTTGTTATGCTGAATGCGTGGGTCAATATCGTTGTTACTGTTTTGCAGTGACTGGATAAATAAAAATTGTGTTTAGTAAAATGCAGGGCTGATCTTTGGTGGCCTCTGCCTATGGGGGAGGAGAAGATAATTGTGTAAAATAAGGGGTGGAGGAAGATCATGGAGAGCATTTTTACGGAAATGTTTTGGTGAGAATCACTGATGAATTTTCAAGACGACACGTTGTAATAAATGTGTTTTATGAATACTGATTTGAAAGTAGTGGCTGCAACATGGCTGCATCCTCAGAGCTGCACAGAGCTGTGAGGGGTCAGCCGGGCTCTTCTAAGCCAGGGGTCTTGAACAGGGATGTGCTGGCAGGAGTTAGGAGAAGGATGAGTTTGAGAAAAGTGGAGGCTGAGCTTCTTGATGTGGGGTCAGCAGTGGGAGGGGGCTTTGAGAACATCTGTGAAGGTATCAGCCATCATCAGCCTGTGTATCCTGCAAAGCAAGAACCTCTACCCGTAACTTGTTCCACTATTTCTGCACCAGATAGTCATCATGGTGTTGCTTCCTCTCCATAAAATATCTGATTACTCGCTTTACTGAATTTTCTTTTCTTTGTAGCTCTCTGCATATACCTTACTCTCTAAATCATGGAACTCTTTATCTGTTACCATAACTTCTGTTTTTGGAGAAACAATGCCTAATACTTCGGTATTTTTGAAAAGATATCCAACGATCTTAAATTATGTTTAATAAAAACAATGCATTGATAACATATACTAAATTTAATTCTTCTGTTCACTAAAGGTCTTTCAGAAGTAATTCATTGGAGCATTCTCCCTGGATTCCTTCTCCCCAAATAAACTGTATTTAAGAAATATTTATCATAACTCAGAGAAATGACTTATTTCCTCTTTTTGTGCCCCGAAGTCACCAACTTTTACTATGTATACTAGGATGTTAAAATTGAACTATTTTGGTTTCTATTTCAGCTGATAAATACAGACATGCGATATTTGTAAAGATTTAAGATTGCTTCTAACCTAGGTCTCTCCTCCATATTTAAGGTACAAAACAGTCACGAAAGTGAAATCATGAGACTATTACCGATGTAAATGGCAGATTCACCTCAAGAAGGAGATACTTAAGAAGGTCTCAGAGACAGATTATGCCACTTCTGGATCTACTGAAGTCTGAGTCACACCTGAGAAACACAGGCAAGTGATTGGCTTTCCTGCCACCAGGTCTAATGGCTTGGTAAAGATACTGCTGCTAGAGTCAAAATTATACTATGATTAAAGTCCAGCTTGGGCTCCCATAATCCTATTATTATTATGGGAGCCCACTCTGAACTCTCCTGAGTTTGCGGGGCAGCAAGAAGACAGTAACGGGAAGGTTGTGAGCAACAGACATTGGGCACCTGCCACTGTCAGCAGGATATGAAAGAGCCTAAGTAAGGGGAAGGAAAGAACAGGGTCCGTCTTTGAGGAATTCAGCTGCTCAGGTTAGACTCCATGTGAGCTCTCCTTCCAGAGGCCACGATGGGGTAAAACCTGCAGATGTGAGACAGGGAGGAAAAGCAAAGCCACAAAAAATGGGGAAAGTGGGCAAAATGAGGGAAAACCTGCACCCTCCAAGGCTCGCTCCAACTGCACTCGTGAGAGTCAGGAATTGGGGCCATCATGAAGGAAGTTTAATAATCTGATATCTTCATTTAGACAGTGCCCTGGACATATTAAAGAGGTTTATTTATGCCCTGGGAATGATCAGAATCATTACAGAACAGGCTTTCCCAGAACAATTTTAAGGAGGTAAGAAGAGACAAAGATCAAGTTTGATGATTTCATCCCATGAATCTTGCTTGATTACAGCTGAAATTACTTAGTAATAATTTGGTAAGGTTTGTATTATTAAACATAATGCAATATGCTGCATAACATGTTAAATTTGATTTTCTCTTAACTCATTATTTAAATATAAATGAATAAACTGAGACCAGCAAATTTCTGCCCCAGGTTGTAAGATGCTCAGGGAGCCTCACTAGTAGTAACTGCCATCTGAGTTTGGCAGGAAGTGTTCACTCACCTTGACTCAGGTAAAAGGAGATCTGACTTTTAAGAAAAAGGCAGAAAATAATAGTGAAATGAATAATCTGTCTCCTGGAGTTTTTTTGTTTATTAAAGCCAGAAAAGCAGATATAAATTCTCTGCTTGTTTCTAGCTACAGAAAATAAGTACAGTGACTTTATACAGGTGTGTGCCACAAGTATTTACTTTTCTTTTTGAGGCAGGGTGTCACCCTGTTGCCCAGGATAGAGTGCGGTGGTGTGATTACAGCTCACTGCAGCCTGGAGCTCCTGGGCTCAAGCAATCCTCCTGCCTCCGCCCCCCAGTACAGGCATGAGTCATTGCATCCAGCCTGTATTTACTTGTTATTAGCTGACAAGCAAACTAAAAAAACAGGCCAAGATTACTTTGTTTAATTTTAGAAGAGTAGTGTATTCATAGAATTGTTTATAATTCAAGAGAAAATGCTAAACTGTCATAATTTAAATGTATGTATCCAAATGTAAACACATGTAACATAAACATGTTTGTATTTGTCAGAAATAGTAAACACAGGTTGTAAAATCAAATGGGAAGAAACTGTATTTCAGGAAATTAAGATTGCACAGAGATTGTGGGAAATAGCACATCTGCGTTTGTTTTGTTGTGACAAGTAACGGCAAATAGTTTCAGCGTAAATTTTCAAACTTTTGACTTCTTCTTTTTGGCAGATATTGTGAGATAAACTGTGGGATGTTACATGTTCACACATGTAACACACTGACAAATGTGTAGAAATATTAGACAAGGGAAACACTATTCTATTGTACAACACTCTTTGGTGTGGTTTGGATCTGTGTCCTCAACCAAATCTCATTTTAAATGGTAATCCCCAAGTTAGGAGGTGGGGCCTGGTGAGAGGTGATTGGATCTTGGGGTCAGTTTCTAGTGGTTTAGCACTGACTAGTGTTGGTCTCATGATAGAGCTCTAAGGAAATCTGGTTGTTTAAAAGTGTGCCTGCTTCTCCTTCTGCCATGATTGTTTCTTGAGGCCTCCCCAGCTGTGCTTCCTGTACAACCTGCAGAACTGTGAGCGGATTAAACCTCTTTTCTTTGTAAATTACCCAGTCTTGGGTATTCCTTTATAGCAGTGTGAGACCAGACTAATATACTCCTTGAAACGTAATTTGTGTGTTCCTTTGAGAAAATTTTTTTCTGTTTTTAATAACCCTTTAAGATGTTTGTTCCTAGACTTAACCTAAATCACATTTTTCTTTTCTGTCCTTCAGTTCATTGTGAGACAGTGAACAATTGGTAAGTGTATGTTACATAATAGACTATGTATTTTAAAGTAATTATAAGCTAACTGCTGTTTTACACTCAAATCTAAATAGCTCAATTTTTTTTTTATTTTCCCCTAGTTCTCAGAATGCTTATTTTCGAGCCCTTTAATAAAATCACAGAAATAAATTATTTCCTGTTAGCCTAGGGCTTCACATTGTTTCCCTTAGGCCATAAAGGATTAAATATATGTATAAGCAAAAATGGTGTCTTTAACAGAGAAAAAAACCTGCCTATATTTTTCGGCATAATTAAGTCAACCTAGATTCTATTCCAGGCCTCCCACTATGCTCTCCCCATTAGGGGGTCATTTCTAAGGATTCACAGCTCTTGTAGGTCTAAGGCTATATCTGGGGACCGGAGCAGCCAGCACAGATATTTTCCTTTACTTCGAACTCCACAAACTGACATGTTCCCTGTTTATTAGCTAATAGTTACTTATCCTCTTCCCCATCTTTTAGGTTAACTTTTCAGATATCCTTCCATCAAAGTCTTAGAAATTGTGTAGGAGTGCTAGCCAACGGCCCTGTGGGGGCTCTGTGTGCATGTTTTGTGTAAATATAAATAAAACTTTCTCTCTGTTCAGTATCATCTACTTTGCAACATGCCATGATAAAGCTAAGATTTTGAAAGCTAAAATTCTACAAAAATATTTGTATACAAAATGAAAAGGATACAATAAGTTTCATTAAATCTAGTTTCACAGACTCTACCAGAATTTTGAGTCTAGCAGAAGTCAAATTTAGTAGAATTTTCTGGTTTGTATGAACATAAAGACAATAGCTAGAATAAAGTTTTGTTGGACTTCATGAAGGGAAAAGAAATTGTGGAGAAAGGTTGAATATATATTTTGTAATTAGGACTATATGTAGTTCATTTTACTGGTTTGTATACCAAAAAATAATAATAACAGTAGGAGTTCACCAAAACCTATTAAGTTGGATAACAGTAGCTATCTTCAGGTTTTCTTCTTAAGCAATAGGATGAAATGACTGTTCTTTGTCCTGGCCGCACTGGGACTGCAAGATCATGGTGTCCCTGCTCGTTGGATTTGAGCTGCACAAACCTGTCTGATTTTAGTTTCATGATCCTTTTTATTCAGTCCCCATCATGCATTCTCTAAATTGTTTGGAAAGTTTTAAGCAATTTATTTCTATGAAAACCTTTTCTATCTGTTAAGCAAAATGTTCTCTGTCACTGTGAATTCTTGGATCTTCTTGTCTTTGTAACCACAGCAGGCTGTCCTAGAGTTTTCTGTCAGTTTGTGCATTTGGAAAAGCCTCTGATATTTTGACCCAAGAAACGGAAAATGCAATCATGACCTCTGCAAAACCATAATACATGCTCACAATTAAGCAACAGAGAGCTTAAGTCAAACACTGCATGTTCTCACTTATAAGTGGGAGCTGAGCAATGAGAACGTATGGATACAGGGAGGGTAGCAACACACATTGAGGCGGCCTGTCTGGGGATGAGGTCGGGGAAGGGAGAGCATCAGGAAAAATAGCTAATGCATGCTGGACTTAACACCTAGGTGATAGGTTGATAGGTGCAGCAAACCACTGTGGCACATGTTTACCTATGTAACAAACCTGCACATCCTGCACATGTACACCAGAATTGAAATTAAAATTAATTAAAAAAATAGAAACTCTAAAAAAAAAAACCATGTTATGCCCAATGTATTAGCCTATTTTCTGATATGCTGATAAAGACATACCGGAGATGGAGCAATTTACAAAAGAAAGAGGTTTATTTGGATTTAGAGTTCCACATGCCTGGGGAAACCTCACAATTGTGGCGGAAGGCAAGGAGGAACAAGTCACATCTTACATAGATGGCAGCAGGCAAAGAGAGAGAGTGAGAGCCAATTGAACATGTTTGCCCTCATCAAACCATCAGATCTCATGAGACTTATTCCTACCATGAGAACAGTATGGGGGAGAGTGCCCCCATGATTCAGTTATCTCCCACCAGGACCCTCTCACAACACGTGGGAATTATGGGAGTACAATTCAAGATGAGATTTGGGTGGGGACAGAGCCAAACCTTATCACCTAATGTTCTTGACACCAGTGGGGCAGAAAACATTTGAGGCTATTTGCACCCAAGGCAGTACCTCAGCAGGTTCCATTTCCCCCACAGTATATTAATTTGCAAAGCACAGGCAGCAGAAGTGGACATCCTTGTGAACACTGTTGCCTTTCACTTGTCTTTGCAAGTGCACGCTAGTCTCCATTCTTACATTAGAACTTGAAATCTCATCCTTAACACCTAGTGGGGTAACTAAAAAGTATAAATTAAAAATGAGCACCTCACTTCAATCACTTAAGACAAATCGACCATTGGGCAATCTCAGTGCATCATGAATCTGAGCTAATATTTACTGGATACTACATTTGAGGTATACTAGGCACTCCTCTGAATATTATATATTCACTACCATTTAATCTTCAAAAATACTTACAGCCAATACCATTATTGTCTCTATTGCCTCATAGGGTTGTTGTGAGAGTTAACTGAGATTACATTTGCAAAACAGCACAAGTGAACACTCTATAAGTGTTTGGCTTCTTTACAATATTATTATTAGTAGTGCTAGTCATTTTTTTAAAGAGTAATATCTATCTACAGAAGTTTGAAACTACCTTTAAATGACTGACTGAGAAGTATTTTGAAAAGGTGGAGAAGCTAGAGATAAGCACAGTGTTTTGTTATTAAACATTCTGGGGGGACATTTGAGCAACATTGTGAAACATCGTTGGACAGCCGTGCCTAAGACAACATGGATATGCAGATTGTAAATATTTTAGCTAAATTTTTCTAGTACGAGCTATATGACTTTAGACCACAACTCTCCAGGGCAACTCTATCAACAGCATTATTTTATGAATTTGGAATCTAAAATTCAGAGGGGCGGGATGGAGCTAGAATCTTCACCTCATCACGTCTGATGCATGGATCTTCGATATATGGAATAATATTAGAATTATATGTATACTCAAGGAAATCCTTAAAATTCAGACTTTTCATTTTAAGAAGTAAAGAAATATATTGACAGCATTTCTAAAAGTAGCGAAGGTTGTGACAGACCATTTATTATGCCAAGCAAACAGAAAATATATTTGGATTTTATGTGTATTTTTCCCATCCGTAATTCAATGCCTACCCAATTTTATTAGCTTGCTAGGGCTGCTGTAACAAATTACCACAAACTGGGTATTTTAAAACAACAGAAATTTATTCTTTCGCATTTCAGGGAGGCCAGAAGTCTGAAATCAAGTTGTCAGCAGGATTGGTTCCTTCTGGAAGCTCTGAAGCAGCACCTGCTCAGGTGTCTGTCCCAGCCTCTGGGGGAAATCCTGGCTGTTCCCTGGCTGTTAGAGGCATCCCCCATGATCTCTGCCTCCATCCTCACACCACCTTCGGTGTAACTCACGTCTCCCTTTTCTTTGCTGATCTTTGGTTTTCTTTGATGATCAATGACATCAGTCATTGGATTTAGCTGTCCATCCTAAATCCAAGTTATCTCTTCTCAAGGTCCTTGACATAATTACATCTGGAAATACTCAGTTTCAAAATAAGGTCACCTGCCATGGTTCCAGCTGGACATGAATTTTGTGCAGATATCTTTTTTTTTTTTTTTTGAAATGGAGTTTTGCTCTTATTGCACAGGCTGGAGTTCAATGGCGCGATCTTGGCTCACTGCAAACTCTGCCTCCCAGGTTCAAGCGATTCTCCTGTCTCAGCCTCCCGAGTAGCTGGGATTACAGGCATCCGCCACCATGCCTGGCTAATTTTTGTATTTTTAGTAGAGACAGGGTCTCACCATGTTAGCCAGGCTGGTCTCGAACTCCTGTGACCTCGTGTTCTGCCCGCCTTGGCCTCCCAAAGTGCTGGGATTACAGGTGTGAGCCACCGTGCCCGGCCTGGGCAGATACCATTTAATCCACTACATCAGTCATTACTTCTTCAAGAAATGAAGACGAATTGCTTTCCTGCTGCCTATCTGAGTCATTATCCAGTATACCTGAAGCAAATTATTGTATATGTTCTATGGAACTGTAAAAGCTTAATATATGTTTTCTTGGTTTTTCAATCTGTGAAAGCATGTTATTTTAACAATTTTAATTATAAAGTGTAGAATATTATGTAGTGAATAACCATGTATTCATCACACAGATTGGACAGTTTCCAATATTTTTTCTCAGATTTCTTTCTTAATATAAGGTTAATAAAACATCACAGTACAACTAGAGGCTGATTGCACCCACATACCTGTGCTTGGTCTGACAGCTGGGACATGTCATTCTTATGTATATGTCCACAATCTTGTACGACAGTTTTGTTTTGTGTGTATACGTGGGTGTTTTATTTCTACACTGAGGGCCTCATGGTGTGTGTAGAATTTTGTACTTGGCTATATTCAACATTATGATTTTGTGATTTCTGTAAACTGAAATTATGTATGCTAATGTATTTATTGAAACTGTTCTAAAATACTAAACGTTATGAATGAATCACAATTTAGTTATCCGTTTTGTCAATCTGGTGAAATATTAGGGTTTTCTGGCTACTAAACCAAATGCTACCACAAAAATCACTGTTCAGGACTCCATGTCAATGTGTCACTTAGGACTCATACCTGAAAATAGAAATCCGTGTATTGACAATGTACATCTTCACGTCTTTAAATGCTGCCAAGTTGATTTCCAAAGAGGTTGTCACAGGTTACATTCTATTAATAGTTTCTAAAAATAGTCTCTCCTCACATGATTGCCAGCATTTAGTATTTTCAGGGAAAATTTATATTCTGCCCATTTGTTGGGTCTAAAGTGATGTATCATTGACATTTTGATTTACATTTTTCTGACTCCTAAGGAGATTCTTATCTTTGTACATAATTTATTGCATATTATTTTGCTGAATTGTAAGATATGTTCTCATGCAATTCTATTTAAATTTATAAAATCCTGTAACTGCTGTCTGAATTAATTTTTTTTTTTTTGAGTCGGAGTCTCACCCTGTGGCCCAGGCTACAGTGAGGTTGGCACGATCTCGGCTCACTGCAACCTCTGCCTCTCAGGTTCAAGTGATTCTCCTGCCTCAGCCTCCTGAGTAGCTGGGACCACAGGTGCCCGCCACCATGCCCAGTTAAGTTTTGTATTTTTAGTAGAGATGGGGTTTTGCCATGTTGGCCAGGCTGGTCTCAAACTCCTGGCCTCAAGTGGTCCACCCACCTCGGTCTCCCAAAGTGCTGAGATTATAGGTGTGAGCCACCGTGCCCTGCCCAACTAACTTTTGGTGCTCCTTCCTACTGATGTTTTAAATCAGTATAGTTAAATTTATCCACTCTTCTTTAAACTTTAAATTATATCTTATTTAAAATAATCCATCTGTATCAAAACTTCTAAATGTTCGTATATTTTCAAAAAAAATTAAGTTATACTATTTCTATGTATTTTTAATCACCTTCTTATAGTTGTTTTGTGTACTGTGTAAAATAAAACCCCAAATTTATCTTTTAATTTTTTTTGAAGAGTTAGTGATTCACCTCAGCAGAGTCACAAAATATTCCATCTTTTCTAAATGTAAAAAGAGATATAAATGGGTCGGTTCTTATATTGTTTTATTGTTTTCTGCATATATTAATTTCTTTCATTAAATTTTATTCCTAAAACTTCTTATTAATCATGTCATTATTCTTAATGTACAATCTCTATCCTTATTCTTCATTTTCAAGTTAGTACCGAATATTCTTGGTCATTTATGCTTCCTTGTGAAGATTAACTATTAATCTTATTATTATGTCTCTGAAAAATAATCAGTTGTGCTTTCAAACAGAATTGCTTGGAATGTTTGAATTAATTTGGGGAGCACTTATTATATTCTCCTTTTCTTTTCTAGATGCAGGAGAAATCTCCTAATATATTCAGAATTGATGTGTAATCCCCCATAAAATACATCGTTTCCATTGTAAAAATCAGGTACATCTTTTGTTAGAATTTTCTTCGGTTGTCTGGGTTTATTGTGAATGGAGTCTTTGTTTTGATAACCACCAATTTAAATGAGCTTTTTATGGAGGGTAGAGACACTATTGTTTTTGCACCCTTATCCAACAATTTTACTGAACTCCTAATTAAAATTTAATAATTAGTCTGAACAAATTCTCTTGGATGTCCTGTGTAGTCAGTCATTGAGCAGGCTCACATGCTCCTGCAGGAGGATGGCTTCCCCACAGGACGGTGAGCAGACAGCAGGGAGAACAATAATCTGAAAAGAAGGAATATATTTGTAATGTGCAGGGGTGCTCAGAAGGCAGTGATCTTGCATGTTTCTTAAAGAACAATTCTAAATGTTGTGAAACAACGTTCCACGGGTCTCTTGCATTTCTCCCAACACGGCATGTAGACACAAGGGCAGCTTTTGGTCTGGAATATCTTCCAAATGATGTTTGTATAATGATTAACCTTAAAGGACAGGAGACATGTAGTCATGCGCAGGCCAGAGAGCTGGCTTGTCCACTGACCGCTGTGTAGCACAGATGATCTGTGCGTCTAGAACAAACGTCAGGACAGTTCTGCTTGCATCGCCTAAGTGTGGGGGCTTCTAAGCTTGCCATTCTATATGTCTTTAATCAACTTCTTAATAGTTTTTTGTGTACTATGTAAAATAAAACCCCAATTTTATCTTTTTATTTTTTTTGAAGAGTTAGTGATTCACCTCAGCTGAGTCACGAAATATTCCACCTTTTCTAAATGTAGAAAGAAATATAATGGGGCTGTTATTATATTGTTTTGTGTTTTTCCATATATTAATTCCTTTGCGTTAAATTTTTATTAATTCCTAAAACTTCTTATTAATAATTTCATTTTTCTTAATGCACAATCTCTATCCTTATTCTTCAGCAGTGATGCAAACCCACTTCACGCGCAGCACCCACCTGCACCGTACCACACAACGCTGTGACAACACTAACACGAAGCTGATGCTGATTGCTCAACAGTGAGGGATCCCTGCCCAGGAGCAGCCAGCACCGTGGAGCTGGTAGGTTAACTCATCAACTTCTAAGCATGGTAAAATCTCAGGCCCTTCAGAGTTCTTGACAATAACCACACCTCAGGGAGCTGTAGAACTGTGTAGATAGAACCTGGACCACCTAAGCTTATTTTTCTGGTGAGTAAAATATAGTCAAGATAGTGAACATGTTAGTCATGGCAACTCCAAGGAACACTGAAATTCTGTTTGCCAATGTGTGTAGTCAGAGACGAAAACAAAATGGAGTGACCAATTTAGAGGACTTCCAGTTGTGTCCTGGTCATTACTGATGCTTTCTAGTCCTGATTGCTTTTTAAGCTGTAGATTATTGTTGGAACTAAAGCTGCCTCGCTGGAAGATATTTAGCTATTTGAACTACTTGGGGTTGTTGTTGACTATTTAAAATAAGTGTTTCTGAGTATCAGTGATCCGTTTTGAGCTACAGACATAGATTCTTTTTATACCAGGAAACTGTCTTTGTTATTTCTATGATGTTTTATAAAAATTTCTTTAGGAATAAAACTGACCCAGGTTCGGCCGGGCACAGTGGCTCACGCCTGTAATCCCAGCACTTTGGGAGGCCGAGGCGGGTGAATCATGAGGTCAGGAGATCGAGACCATCCTGGCTAACATGGTGAAACCCCGTCTCTACTAAAAATACAAAAAATTAGCCAGGCGTAGTGGCAGGCACCTGTAGTCCCAGCTACTAGGGAGGCTGAGGCAGAATGGCGTGAACCCAGGAGGCGGAGCTTGCAGTGAGCCGAGATTGCACCACTGCCCTCCAGCCTGGGCGACAGAGCCAGACTCCATCTCAAAAAACAAAAACAACAAAAAACAAAAAACTGACCCAGGTTCTAGACTGTTCTTTCACCTGTTTATGGGCTGTATTCTAATCAGCGTCCTTTGCTTTTTATTCTAGACTTGCGTCTCATGCTTGTAATCACCAGAACTTATATACTTTGCTAAATTGGGGGCTTTGCTTGTTAATCCTTCTTACACTGATTTCCATACTGTTACTTAAAATTTTGATTTCTTACCAAGCTCTGTTTTTAATTTTGCCTGAATCTTCCTCAGCTGAGTCCTTTTATCTCAGCCCATTGACATTTTTCTTATTTCACAAATACATGTTTTCTTGAATGTTACTGAAAATACAATATAGAAGCTTTCTAAAGTTTTTAAAAAAATTCCTCCAACAGTAAATCTATTTCTTCATATAAAGCCATAAAAATGATACAATTGACTCTGGGGACTTGGGGGTAAGAGTGGGAAGGAGGCGCGGGATCAAAGACTACACTTAGGGTGCAGTGTATACTGCTCGGGTGACGAGTGCACCAAATCTCACAAATCACCACTAAAGAGCTGACTCATGTAGCCAAATACCATCTGTACCCCAATAACTTAGGGAAAATAAAATAAAAAATAAACATTTATAAAAAGAAATAAAATAAAATAAAGTAAAATATAGCAAGGTTCATATTCTTTTTTCTTCACACTGTAGACTCTTTTCATCATTCCGATGTTGGGAATTTTTGTCACAGATTTGAACAAAAGAATTCAATAAAGGCCAAGTATTTTTAAAATCTGTGGTGGTTGACTTATTCTTTGATCTCCTCTCTGCACGAGCTGCTAAGAAGAAACCTCGCTTTTATATTTTAATCTGGTATTGATTGATGTAAAGTTACATTACCAATTCAGTGATCCAAAATTTATTCAAGGGCATGTGGGCACTCTTGGCATAATGACCCTTTTTATCTCTCATCCCCAGGCCACAAATTGGTTTCTAACACGGAGCTTTCATGTCCATTTTAGATTTTGCAGCAAACACCTCCTAGATGTTCTGATTTTGCTTCTGTGCCTACTGCTTTGTGGAGTGTCTTTTCCACCCAGTGGTCTGTCACTATGTCGTGGTGTAGGATTCTGATCACTAGCTGGGGTTTTCACCCAGTGGCTCCACAAATTAATGTGATGAGCCAGGAGCAAAGGGTCTTGTACAGAGTCTGCTTCTCAGTGACCTCCTCATCTTGTTTGCATTCTCACCCTCGTCTCTCCAAGTTCAAGGCTCTTAACGTGGTCCTGTGGCACTCCCCACACATTCTTCATTAATGCATGTCTTTCTCAGGTTGGGGCTCAGGAGAAGGTGGTTGAGGCTGAGAGTAGCCTGGTCCTGCCATCACTATGCATGGAAAGTTACGACGATGTTCCAGTTTCTGACAAAGGAGACTGATTCCCCTTCTCCCAGGCTTAGTGCTGATGGTCTCACTTGCATCGTCTTCGTTTTCCCCATGTGAGTCTTAGAATTTTTTTTTTTTTTTTTTTTTTGAGATGGAGTCTCGCTCTGTCACGCAGGCTGGAGTACAGTGGCACCGTCTTGGCTCACTGCAAGCTCCGCCTCCCGGGTTCAAGCGATTCTCCTGCCTCAGCCTCCCGAGTGGCTGGGATTACAGGCACCTGCCACTACGCCCGGGAACTTTTTTGTATTTTTAGTAGAGACGGTTTCGCCATGTTGGCCAGGCTGGTCTCGAACTCCTGACCTCATGATCCACCCGCCTCGGCCTCCCAAAGTGCTTGGATTACAGGTGTGAGCTGCCGTGCCCGGCCCTTAGAATGTTTTAAATGCACGTACTTCCACTGTCGTCTACTTCCCTGTGTGAGGGAAATCTTTGAGATAGAACTTGTCCTCCCGTTTGCCTACCGGGGCTTTCATTTTACAAATCTGTTAAAGTTAGCTGGGAGTTTCACATGAGAAAAGTAACATATGGACTCACATGTAGCAGATACAGTGCAGTAGCTGGAAGAAAAGCTATGGATTCATAAATATCTGGAATGCAAGTCCAGGCCCAATACTTGTGACCTGAGGCAAGGAAGATAATTGATCTCTCTGAGTTATAATTTGCACAAATTTGAGAAGATAATAACGTAAAGAGCAAGTACGTCATAGCTATTGCTGTGTATGTATAGCTTCTTGATACTTTTATCTATTCATTAATTTAAAAATATCTGTTGAGTGCTAGTCATTGCTAGCATTGTGATAAATAATAACTTGGTTTTGGAATCCAGTAGCAGTTAAAGATAGGAAAAGATCGTTAGTTTCTCCTGTGTTAACTTGAAAGCTCTTCATAGGAACTGTAAATTTTCAAGACAAGTAGAAAACAGGATTCAGGCAATCTGTTAGGACAATAGATTTTCATGATAAGAAAGTTTACTTAAGCCGAGTAAACATGCAAATTGATAATAAAATGCTTAGCTTCATTCTCCAACCCATTCATCACAAATCTTTTGGCAATGAAAAAAAACATTCATTTTTTAAAAATGAGAATTTAAAGTAGTGAATCCACAAAACACAGCTTTTCATTTTTAAACTAGTGAAAGATACATACATAGGTTTGCTGATGGTTTTCTATTCATCTAAGCCTCAGGGACAAAATCCATACATAAAAATTAAGGAGAACATATTCTAAAGGAATGATTTGTGTATTACTCCTCAACTGCTTTCATACAGTCAAGAATTTAAGAATAAAGATGTGTAGGATCTCATAAAATATAATTGGCTGTAGTTTAACTCTTTTATTCTATGAATGTGGATGATCTAAATCTAACTTTCGCCCTTACCATTTGGTAGAAATAACATTATGTTCCCTAAAATAACTTACAGTTTGAAGAATCATAACAAATATTTTTGCAACATCAAATTTTCTTATATTGGGGAATCAATGGTGCTGTTTTGTTTGTTGAGCTTTGAGCTGTGCAGTTGAGTTGCTAATGATCTGTTTGGATTACTACTGAGCACAGCAATTGGATGCATGACATATGCGAAGGAGGTTGTGTATCGTGGCTGTGTCAGCTGTAATTATAATAGATGGCAGGGAGGAAGACCAGCTACGCAGCAGTCTGGATGTGGGGCAGATTTAAACCAGTAATTTACAGATTGCTACGTGAAATTATTACAGATTACCAGGAACTGAAAGCCACTGATGAATGTCTTTCCTAGGGTAGATGCACATAATTATTATTGAGCTGATATTTTATATGTGTATACTTATACTTATTTAATCTTCTTAAATACATTGAGATTGCAAAGTGCTTAGGACAGCACTTTGCACAAAGTAAATGTCATACTGGTGTTTATTAAGTAACCATTTGAATAAATGAATGAGCTTCACCTAATAATCTTTCAATAAGACCAGGAGTTGCTCAGTGACAGTTACACAGAGTAAAATGCATAATGGCTTCTTACATAAGTCTAACTCTAATGAATAAGTGTGCTTAGATGTTAAGAATCATGTCATTCAGATACAGGGTACTTTTTTTTTTTTTTTTTTTTGAGGTAGAGTCTCGCTCTGTCATCCAGGCTGGAGTACGTGGAATACAGTGGTGCGATCTCAGCTCACTGCAACATCCGCCTTCCAGATTCAAGTGATTCTCCCAGGTAGCTGGAACTACAGGCACCTGCCACCACGCCTGGCTAGTTTAGTAGAGACAAGTTTTCGCCATGTTGGCCAGGCTGGTCTCAAACTCCTGACCATAAGTGATCCGCCCGCCTCGGCCTCCCAAATTGCTGAGATTACAGGTGTGAGCCACTGGACCTGGCCCCAAAATGAAAATCTTCATAGTAAACATAAAACAAATAAGCTACCCATTAACTAATATAAGTAATCATATTTTAAAGGGAACTACTAAAGTCACATCAATAGAGTATAACACCTGTGTAAACATTGGGAATAATTGTTTTAATATCAAAGGGAATTCTTTAGTGTTTAAGTTAATTTCTCTATAAAGGCATTAATGTTCAAATGTCTTCTAAGAATATTAGAAATTTTTAAAAAGTGCTTTGTAAAGATTATTCGAACACTGCATTTTTTTTTTATCCTGAGTTTGTTCTTTGTTGAATGTATCTTAAAGTTTCTTGGTACTAGTGTATTTAAGCTTTAATACATACATGTATAGGTATATATTTTAAGTGCTTTATAATCTAAAGTGCTTTCAGGCACCTGCCAGTGTTCATTTTTAAATGGATTTCTGCCTCGTTAAAAATCAGTATTTCAAACATTGCAGTTTTTTACGTGGTGACTGGGTGTGGGGCTCCTTTGAGGGACTGTGAGGGTCTGGACTGTAGCGGAAGTTATGGGTAGTGAAAGGGCTGCATGAACAAATTTGCTGTCCCAAATTTTGTGATTCCTTTTGAGCTAATGTTCTTGGGAAGGGTGTAACGTCTGTCTCTAGATTCACATTTTTTGCATGTGGATATCTTGTTTTTTTAGCACTGTTTTTTTTGAATGAACTATCCCCTTTCCATTGCACTACTTTTGTTCCTTTGTCAAAAACCACTTGAGTATATGTGGGTCCCTTTCTGGACTCTCTAATCTGTGCTACTGACTGATGTGTTCATTCTTTCTCCAGTACCACACTGTCTTGATTATTGCAGCTTTATACTAATTCTTGAAGTCAGTTAGCATTGTTAGCATTGCTGTAAGTATGTGTCAATCTTGGATGAATACTGTCCCAATGCTCCTAAAACTCCTCTGTCTCTCTCTGCCTGTATAAACGAAATCTTAACTTTTCTACTTCAGAACATGACTCTATTCCTCTGAAGTTTGTGTTTCTGGGTGGTCCATATACTTTGTGCCTGAAAAATTCTCTTTAAATTAGATTCTGAACTTTTTGATTATTTTAGGGCGACATGGCTACGGGGAGATTCTGGCTTATCCATTTTAAAGGATTCTTGTCCAAGCAAGGCCAGGATGATGAACTATCAAGGGTAGGGGATGAGGAATTTGATCAGATATCAAGGGTGGGAATTTTGGCAACCCAGCCGGATTTTAGCCAAAAGTGAGCTAAGCTGGCTGTGGACCGAGCCTAAGTTCAAGGCACAATCAAGAGACTCCGAGAAGTCTGACACACATTTTATCCGGAGAGAGCTTTTGCCAATATTCAGAAAGCTCTTTCTCCACAAACCAAGGGGTTCACCAGCAAAGCAGCTGACATGCCTGGTATCCATTTTGGTGCAGTCCCGGGGGAGGGACAAGAAACCCACCCAGGACCCCTTCCCTCCCCAGCCCCTCTACAGAACAGAGGCCTGAGTGTGAGGACGGAGGGAAACAGGCTCTGGGGCCTCCAGGGAGCTGGTGGTGAACTCTTACTCCAGATGGGGGACAGAATCGGGGGGAATAGTGGAGGATCAGGAGAAAAGAGGCTAGCCCTACCTTGACACCCAGGGACAAAGACAGGCAAAGCTGATGTCTAACCACAAACACACCAACCACAGGCCCGAACAGGGGGATGTTGGGAAAATATGATTAAAAACAATATTTCCCCCAGATCCAGAAAACCTCTCTACAGGGGTAGAAGACAAAAAGAACAATTGTGTCATTGAGTAAGTATTAAACTAGAATGGGATACACGTCACACTGCAGTCTGCTGAGAGATGGCAAAGAAGGAAAGAGATCTCATGCTTTCATACAACAGGCAGATACAGCCCGTTACAAAGTTGTTTTCAAGATTAGCGAACAGTAACTAGCCCTTAGGTAGAACAACTCCTCAGCATCATTGATTACACATAGTTCATCTTAGATTGACCTGGTAATTGAGATGACTATCTGTGTTAGCTAATTGGCTTTATCCAGTGGAAAATAAACTTCTCATATCCCAGTGAAATGATATAGTTTCGCAACTTGGAGCCAGGTGCCCCAGGAAATTAGGCTCCAACGTTCCCTCAAGAACAGAGACAGGGGCTCTATCTTCCTCAATGTTTGTATTTCAAAGAGATGGCTCCCAGGTCTTAGGAGAGGCATTTCTGGGTCATACAGTTGACAAGAGGCATATCTCATATTCAGAAGACTTCATATACATTTCAAAGAAAGGAGAAAGTACTTGTAATCACAAATTTGTGAAAATAAATTCTCTTAGGAAAAAGAAGGCAGGAAAACCTCTTCCCTTATTTGGAGAAGGAGAACTCAGCCTCTGATTTTTAATTTGCATTTATTTGTCCTTTCACTGGTTGGTATAACAAGCAACAAGAGTATACTTCTGGGAGAACAGGCGAGACACAAGAGCTTGAAAAGGGAGACTTGGTAAGGTCCAACACAAAGAGAAGACAACATTCAGAATCAAACAGAACAAGACTGCTCTGGCAAGCCACCCCACCCTGCACACAAGTTATCTGTATAAAAAAGGTAAAAGTTTTAGGTCACAGAGGGTTACTGTAGCACACACCAGGTCCTAGATTAATGCAAATCTCACAGAAAATGGCCAGCGAAGGGAATTAGTGGACATATCCCACCATAAAATCTCTTTACCTCCACCATTATAGTCCTTGAAAACATGCCTGGCTTTTAACTAAAACTTATAAGAAGTTCCATGAGAAGGCTAAAACAACCAACACACTCCTAAGAGACAAAGAAATTATCAGAAGCAGACTCAAACATGACACACATTTTCAAAATGTCATGGAAAATTTGAAAACACCCAGGGAAAAAAGAAAAAAAAATTACATTTGGGAGAAAACAGTAAGAATTACTGCAGATTTGACATCAGAAACCATGTCAGCCAGAAGATATATTAAGTTTCATGTTTTAAGTTTTTTTTCCAAAGAAAAAAAAGATAACACCCATGTTTATAGCAGTGCAATTTGCAAATGAAAAACTATGGAACCAGCCCAAATGTCCACCAATCAATAAGTGGATACCATGCAATACTACTCAGCCATAAAAAGGAATGAAATAATGGCATTTGCAGCAACCTGGATGGAATTGGAGACCATTATGCTATGTGAAGTAACTCGGGAATGGAAAACCAAACATCATATGTTTTCACTTATAAGTAGGAGCAAAGCTATGAGGGTGCAAAGACATAAGAAAGATACAATGGACTTTGGGTACTCTTGGGAAAAAGGGTGGTGGGAGTGAAAGGGATAAATGACTATGCATTGGTTACAATGTACACTGCTTGGGTGATGGGTGCACCAAAATCTTAGATAGTACCGCTATAATACTTATCTGTGTGACCAAACACCACCTGTTCCCCAAAAACCTATTGAAATAAAAGAAATACATTAAACTTACATTACAGAAATTAAAAAAACAAACCCTGTCAACCCCAAATTCCATGCCCATAAAAGTATTTTGAAAAGGACTGATAAATAGTCAGTTAAAAGGAAAAAAAAATAAAAAAGAAATAAAGAAGGAAAAAGGGAAGGAAAGAAGGAAGGAAGGAAGGGAGGGAGGGGAGGGAGGAAAGGAGGGAAGAAAGAGAGGAAGGAAGAAAAAGAAAGAAAAGAAGGAAAGAATTTATTTTCGACAGGCCTAGTTTATAAAACATGATAAAGAAGCTTTTTGGGCCAGGTACGGTGGCTCATGCCTGTAATCCCAACACTTTGGGAGGCTGTGGCGGGCAGATGACAAGGTCAAGAGATCAAGATCATCCTAGCCAACATGGTGAAACCCAGTCTCTACTAAAAATACAAAAAACAAAAAAAAGAAGAAAAGAAAAAATAGCTGGGTGTGGTGGCACGCATCTGTACTCCCAGCTACTTGGGACACTGAGGCAGGAGAATCTCTTGAACCCGGGAGGAAGACGTAGGTTGCAGTGAGCCACATTTGCGCCACTGCACTCCATCCTGGCCGTAGAGAGAGACTCCATCTAAAAAAAACACACACACAAAAAAAAAACAAAAAAAAACTTTTTTGGCTGATATAAAATATGTTTCTGAAACTTGGATCAACAGAAGGAAACAAATAGCACTGGAAATGGGATGAATGAATTTAAAATTAATCTTTTTTTGTTTGAATTACTCTAAAAAATATTTTAGCAAAAAATAACAATAGCTTGTGTGTTTACTGTATGTGTAAACATAGAAAGTATGAGGAAATTGTACAAATAATGGGAGGGAGGAATTGAAGGGGTGAGTTGAAGGGGTTACCACTGTCCAAATATAAGAAAATATGAGCATGAAAAACTGATAGTGCAAAAAGAGTATTCTATGGAATAAAACACATAGAAAATAAAAATAAAACAAAATGCAAACCCAGCAGCCTATACTGGTAGAAATACATAAATGGATAAATGAGAAAAGCTATCTAATAAATAGAATAATGGGTTTGGAATACTATCAATGAAGTCTAAAATTAGTGGGTAACATTTTGAGGATAAACAAGATATTTGCATTATCTCAAATTATCCTTCCGTAAATTAGCTATTTATTGAAGTGGGAAAGTTTTTACTTTATATTTATACCACCTTATAAACCAAAGCGGGTATCGCCAATATTGGGACAAAAAGACCTTGGGTACCTTCCTATGGGAGGCATTAAGAAGCATTCTACAACACTTCCAGGTTTCCTGCCCAACATATGTTACCTTTATCTACAGCTAAAGGAATTCCAGGCAAATACAAATTAAGGTACATTGTACAAAATAATTATCTATAATCTTTAAAAATGTTATCATAAAAAGATGACAAAGACAATGATAGCTCAGAACATGTTTAGATTAAAGAAGATATAATAAGCTGGAACCTGGTCTGGAAGAGGGGGAATAACAGACATAGCTCCAAAAAAATGTAACTGAGAAAAGTAATGATCCTTGAATACACACAGATAACTGTGTTGTATCAATGCTGACTTTCCTTAGTTTGATAGTAGTTCTGTAGTTCTGGAAAATAATGTCATTGTTCTTATGAAATGCTGAAGAATTCCAGTAAAAGAGTCTCTAACTTCCTCTCAAATCGTTCAGAAAATGTACCTGTGGGCAATGCATACTTGTGTGTAGTTCTGTGTGTGTGTCTGCGCAAGTGTGTAGTTCTGTGTGTGTGTAGTTGCATGCGCGCGTGTGTGTGTGTGTGTGTGTAGGGAATGGGATGGCAGAGAGGAAGCAAATATGTGAACCCAAATCTAAGTGAAGGTTATATAATTTCCTTGTGCTATTACTGAAATTTTTGACACATTTACTAGTATATTAGAGTATAAATTTGCAAACATTTTTAAAATAAAGGTTAAATACCTAACGAATCTAAGTTCAAGCACCTGTGAGTCCAAGTCTCAATCTTTTTAAGGACAGTACAATGTATCTTCCAGTTTCTCATCATCTCGTTTTTTCCAAGACTAAGTAATCTATAAATATTCGACTTTATGGAGTAGGAAGGTCAATGAAAGAAATAGAATGCCCATTGGATTTCTAACGGATCAATGAGTGTCTCCAAAGGCAGACATAAAAATCATCAAATGTCAGATAATCTATATGAAATGTTAAGAAAATCATCGTTATCTAAGGAGCAATAATAGTCTTTATCTTTCTGTTAGATATTCTTTTCAGAATATTTTGGCTAACTTTCCTTTGACATACATTTGAATATACACAATAGTTTTAAAATGTCATCTTTGTAAAATCAAGTGGCTATATTTGTAGATTCCTCTCCCAAAAAACATCAAAGATTTTTTTTTACCTTCGCTTGCCATCCACATTAGTGTTTTATTCAAAAGTGATGAGCAATGTCTCCTGTGGGATTGACATATACAGTATCTTTAACGTGCTTTCTCAAGTCTCTTTTTATCCCTTTGCATTCTGAATTTTTATTTGTGATACAAAGTAAAATAAAGCCCATTAAACCATTTATTTACATGAAATCAGAGCATTTGTTCAGACCCAGCATGTGGTCTGAAGAAAGATATTCAAGCACGCATCTTTCTTTCTTTCTTTTTTTTTTCTTCTCTCTGATTGCACCATTTCTTTGATCAGCCCATGAAGGCTGTGGAAAGTCGGGATATTCAGAATGTAAGATGAAATCTTTGCTTTAACCCTCTGTGTTTAGTGTAGGTCCTGAACCTCAAATGTGGCTGTGCTGCCTGACTCACCAGAACTTCTGTGACAGCTCAAATTTCTTGTGCTTGGGTCCTCTTTGCTTTTTCAAGGAAGAATCAGTGAGGGTGATGTTTCATGCCCACTGATCCTGGAGACCTCCCGAGAGACCCTGGGTCCAGGGTGTGATCTGTAAATCGGTGATAAAGAGTTCCTGCCATAATCTCCATAGGAAAAAAAAAAGGAAATGCCTTATGTAAATATCTGTATCTGCTCATCTGTGTATTAGTCTGTTGTCATGCTTCTAATAAAGACATACCTGAGATTGGGCAATTTACAAAGGAAAGAGGTTTAATGGACTCACAATTCCACATAGCTGGGGAGGCCTCACAATCATGGCAGAGGGCGAAGGAGAAGCAAAGGCACATCTTACATGGTGGCAGGCAAGAGAGCTTGTGCAGGGGAACTCCCCTTTATAAAACCATCAGATCTCATGAGATTTCTTCACTATCATGAGAACAACATGGGAGAGACCCACCCCCATGGATTCAATTACCTCCGATGGGGTCCCTCCCACCACATGTGGGAATTATGGCAGCTACAATTCAAGATGAGATTTGGGTGGGGACACAGCCAAACTGTATAAATCTGCTAAGAAACAGTGTGCTTTTGTTGTTCGTTTATGCTAGACAGAGGAGAGAAAGAGAAAGGTAATATTCACCTATTAGTCGCCAAGTGCAATTATGGTGTAAGTAGCTGGATATAAGAGGTGGAGGTCAGGTCAGGGAGCGGTGGCTCACACCTGTAATCCCAGCACTCTGGGAGGCTGAGGCGGGTGACACGTGAGGTCAGGAGTTCGAGACAAGCTTGGCCAATATGGTGAAACCCCATCTCTACTAAAAATACAAAAAAATATATATTAGCTGGGCTTAGTGGAGGGTGCCTGTAATCCCAGCTACCAGGGAGGCTGAGGCAGGAGAATCGGGAGGCAAAGTTTGCAGTGAGCTGTGATTGTGCCCCTGCACTCCAGCTCAGGCGACAGAGTGAGATTCCAACTCAAAAAAAAAAAAAAAGAGGTGGAGGTCAGAAAAGGAGCCATTGATGGAGTCCTAGATCCTGGATTATCAGCAGATAGATGGCATTTAAAACTGTAGAAGAGGGTGAGGTCAGTGAATACATCATGACAGGTAAAAGAGAGGAAAAAAAAGTACTTTCAATCAGATCATCCCTATCTGAGAAAGTTAAAAGATGGAAATAACCAGTTTGAGGTTAAGAACTTTTTCATAAGTTAAAATAAACCAGAAGCAGAAGGAGGTGTGTGGAAAAGTGGTGAGAATAGAGGCCTGTCGCTGAGGTTGTTCACTTTTTATTCAGATTACTTGAGTGTTATCGGAATGTCCAGGTGGGAGGTAGCCAGATGACCTCTAGCATAGACCATTCTACTCTGAATTTCTGAGCATTGTTCATCCTTTATAAGTGCCTATATTTGCAGTTAAAAATTAAATGGATAATTTCAAGACAAAAAACTTAAACTCTCCAAACTCTTTATCCTAAATCAGTGAAACAAACGAAACAAAAGCAGCTTTCCCATTCTTAAAACATCTATTATCTGCAAATGTTTGGAAAGAAACCACAGAATGTGAGGGTTTGTACCTAAATTAATCATTCAATGTCTGCTGCTAAAAAGCCCACTATCTGCAGTCAGAATCAAGAATTTGATACGCATGGAAAAACTTAAAAGAGACCACTAATTTTCCCAAATATTTATATAGATAAAATATGACCTTAGTCTAATTATGCAAAATCATTTTAACACTTGATTTTCTTGTTGAAAACTTAAATGTATCAACTGACTGAGCCTGTGATTTATTTAACATACATTTATTTTATTTCTGCTGTGTGTTGGGCATTATCAAGGGCTATAGTGACACAAATAAAATGAAATCCATACTTCTTGCCCTTTAGGAACTTGCATGATTTTGGAGAAATGAAAAATGAAAACAACTACAATAAAATATGACACTGGTAATGATAGAAATCCCATTTACTATTATTTTATTCAGTAAAAATGCCGTGTATTTTATGATAAAATGAAAGTCCCTATTAGTGTACTCAGATAGAAACTGCCTATCTAGGTCTCTATTCTAAATAGATTGGAAAGAGTGGCTGATGTGTTAGATTTCCCTTGTGTGAATACAATCTTTTTCTACTTATAAAGCTGTTTTATTTTTTTAATTGGTCAAGGGAAATAACCTCTTACTTATCAGGAGTTAAGTATCCATTCATTCTTCATGCTTTTTGTTTTAACATTTTCTTCACAGCTTAATGGACACCATACTTCTTGTTTCTCCTCTAAGCATTTTGAATCCACCTTAGTAAGTTCTTCTTCCTCTGATCTCTAAATATCTGCATAATCTAGATTTTCTTCTTCAGAACTCTTCTCTCGTCTACTTATCTTCATGTCTTCAATGACCTCAGCCTCCTCTCTTGTTTTAAATACATCGACTTGTTGATAATCTAGGATCTATAACTCCGTCAATGACTCCTTTCCTGACCTCCATCTCTTACATCCAACTACATGCACAATAGTTGCACTTGGCACTAACAGGTGAATATTGCCTTTCTCTTTCTCTTCCCTATCTAGCATAAAACAACACACAAAAGCTGACTATTTCTTAACTTCCTTCTTTCATAGAGCAAATAGAATCTGAAAACCAAGCCATTACTACAATTTTAGTCAATTTATTATCTTACATTTTTCTAGAAAGTGTGCATTTCAACAATGCAAGCTTTCAAATGTGTGTTATTCTAGTGCCCAGATTTAGGTTTCTAGTGGAGAGATGTTGACGTTCAAGTATTATTGTATCATCCTTGGAGTCTCACGTAAAAGCAACTGCTTTCTGTGGCTTCTAGGACATCCGCCTTCACCTTCCTGTTCCAAGTGACAATTTCCATCAAACAGGACAAAAGTACTTTCAATTTCTGTAAAGAGCAAGCATTGCCACATTCTCTTTCTCTCTCTCTCTCTTTCTCTCTCTCTGTCTCTCCCTCCCCCTCCTCTCCACCACTCTCCTGGATATTCTCTGTCAGTTATGCTCTCTACTTGCGGAGGGTTTCAGAAATGTTAAGGATAAACAGTCACCCACATGATGTTTTAAAAAGGCAGAAACTTTGGTGATTTTATCTACAACCGTATTGTGTAAAAAAGTCTCTATTTGACTCAGGTGGTTAATATATCTTTGTGACTTTGTTAAGTGGTAGGAAAAAATTATTACTTGGAAGAAACAAACTTACACAATAAACTAAAAAAAGGAAAAAATAAAGTAGCTGTTTTATAAAAAATAAAATTAAGTCCTTGAGAAACTTAAGTTCTAGAGCACATTTTCTATCTCGCTTAGCTCGTTATCACCATAAACTTTCAAAAAGAGGGGAAAGAAGTTTTAAACTTGACTTTTAGTCAATGCACGTTAGCATTTCTTTTAGGACACCTGTTCTACTGCTCCTTAAAGAACATCTATTTCAGGCAAGGTGAATAGTTTCAAATGGAGTTTTTCACCTAAGTCAATAGAAATCGAAATTTTTATCAAGAACTGGGAATTTAATTCTGTGTAGGATTAAAGAAAAAGCACCTAAGATTTGTAGATTGCCTTTTCACATTAAAGAACAAAGAGGCTCCTTTCTTTTTAAATACAAAAGCATAAATATACTTTTAAACTTTATTTTCTACAAAATAAATATTTGGGACACCATTCCCATTTTTTGATTGACTACATATTGTGCTCTAAAATAATGTTTGTATAGGTTTCGGGGAGGGTGCAAAGCATGGTAGCGTCCATGAAGACCGTGATATCTGGGTGAGCTGCAGAGAAGAAGTCTGTGCAGTACCCGGTACTGTGCCTGCACACTCCCACCACAAGCGGTCCTTAGTGGTTCTTGTCCTGTCCCCAACTGACCTTCCTCTGAAGACCCAGTTTCATGGAGCAAGAGCAGAGGGCTCTGCACAGGCCCCCTTTTACCCCTGTCTGAGTCAGTATGGTCTGCAGTAACAGGATACCATATTGGGTGGCCTAATGACAGACACCGACTTCTCACAATTCTGGAAACTGGAAGTGTGAGATCAGGGTGTCAGGTGCTCAGCCCTGGCCAGGGCTCTTCCAGGCGGCCCACCTCTGTCTTCTCACTGTAAACCCACATAGGGGAAGGGGAGGAGTGCTTTCTAGAGCTTCCTTTATAAGGGCACTAATCGCAACCAAGAGGGACCAACAGGGGTCCATCCTGAAGACCTAATCACTTCCCAAAGCCATGGTTTGCAAACACTGTTGCCTCAGAGGTTACATTTTAACATAAGGATTGAGGAGAGAGACACAATCTTTTAGTCCATAAGGAGCTAGGAGGTGGCCTGGACTCCAGAGGGACTCGGACACTGGACCAAATTGAGGACTAGCTAAAACAGGGCTGGATAGAAGCAGCCTCCGTAAGACACACCCTGTGTGCCATGCCAGTTTACCATTGCCATGGCAACACTCAGATGTTACCACGCCTTTCCATGGCAACAACCGGACAACCTGGAAATTATCACGCTCATCCTAGAAGTGTCTGCAAACACTGCCCCTTAATTTGCATATAATTAAACACAGGTGTAAATAACACTGCAGCACTGCCTCTGAGTGGTGACTCTGGGCTCACTGCCTAAGGGGTGACCCGCTTCATGGGGAGCAGTACCTCTGCTGCTGCTGCTGCACACTGCAGCTTAAGTAAAAGCTGCTGTTGAACACCACTGGCTGGCCCTTGAATTCTTTCCTGGGTGAAGCCAAGAACCCTCCTGGGCCAAGCCCCAACATTGGGTTCACCTGCTCTGCATGGATAACCCTCCCTAACCAGCCTGCCGCTACGCCTTAACATGGTATTTTGAGATCCACATTGTGCTACGCTTTAAAGTCATACATAAGTCACTACAATAATAACTGCAGTAACCTGCGAATCAGGGTGGGTCTTCACCATCCCAGTCCAGGTATGAGAGGGAAGGCATCCTAGGGTGAAAATAGGAGGTTTGCAGCATCTCTTGATACTGAGCAACTGAAGTGGGGGGTGCGTTGAGTGGTGAGAATCCCCGACACGAGTGAGGAAAAGCAGCAGCCCTGAGCTCTGATGCCTGTGGGGTCTGCAGGGTGTTGTGCTCAAGCCTGTGGCATACACAGGCCTTCGGTCTGTGTGGACGACTGTGTGTATTCATGTCACATGGAAATCACCTCTGCATCCTCTCACATTGGAACACCTTCCGGAGTATTTCTGTTACTTAAAAACAGAAGTCACTCTCATGCCCAATTTCACTTGTCTGTTTTTCTTCCCCTGTCTTTGTTGCCAGACAACAGACTAGACTGATTTTATTTTTTATTTTCACTCTGGTTTTTATTTCTAAAGAACTCTTTGCCTCCTCTCAGCACAGACGAAGTCAAGTCATTACTAGAACAACAGGGATTTCAAGTTGCCAAGTTTTAGATGGGGAAGATGGGGGGAGAAAAAGACCTTGATTGCCAGTGTTTAGGGAAATCAGAAGTTTGACTCTGGCAAATTAAATGGAAGATGACTGTTAGCTGTTCAAGTGGAGATAACTCAGTGAGCATCTTTCCCCTAGAAAGGCAGATTACAAATAAATACAGAAGCCTCCAGCACTAGTGTACGCACTGGACAAACACCAAGGGAAAACAAAATCAAAGAAGGCATCTCAGAGGGGCTGACTCATGAGCAGAAGCTGAATGGCATGAGGGCGTGAGGAGTCAAGTGAACTACAGTGAGGAGGATTCCAGGAGGAAAGAAAATCCAGAGTGAGGTCCAGGGTTAAGAGACGGCTTTGTTTGTTTGAAGGCCAGTGGCGTTGCCTGCTTGGAAGGAGCCGCCACACAATGGCAGGGGAAGAAAAGCTTGAAAGAATATCGTGAGGTTACGAGGAAAACCTTAACCCATGTTCATGGTGAGACATGGGGTAGGGAAGTGGAGGAGAAAGTTGGAGCTGCATCTAGATTTCAGAAGAGATGGAAAGAATGAATGCACAGTGGGTTGGTGGCCAGCGCATATTTGGAAATCAAATTCTGACTCCAGACTGCTTCAGCAACCAGCCCGGAAGAGTCAGGACCTGTCCATCCACTGCCAGCTTCCCAGTTGTTTCCTCTGCTTATGGGTCAGCACAACTGAGATAAAGCTGAACCCCTCACCTAGGATGCCCTGCTTCTAAGCTGGCTGCCACCAGCATCCCCAGTTGTAGTCCTCGTTCACCACCTTGACACCTGGCAGCTGGACACAGTGAGGTTAACCCTCCTTGGACTTACTGTGTGTAAAAGGGGGCATAGAAAGAGTGGATTCCATACAGAATTTAGTGGTGACAAAGGAATTGTAAACTTATTTTGCTAAGAGAGGACATCTTCTAGGAGATCCTGTTGTGGAATGAAACACTGCCCAGAGAAACGATGAGGACTCAAGAGCCAGAGCGCCTGTCTGCAGGAGCGAGGGCACATCCGACCGTGAGGGAGTGCAGGCAGGAGGCAGAGGCGGGTCACTAGTCACCATCAGGACAGCTCAGACAGAAGAGACGTCAGCCAGTTAGTGCATGCTGTGGTGAGAATGCTCGGACGTTCAGTCTGCTTAGTATCATCAACCTCGTGAAAATTGCTATTGAGTGAGAAGAGACCTAAAGAGAGGGAGTACACAGCCACCAGCCATGGTGGCTCACATCCATGATCCCAGCACTTTGGGAGGCTGAGGCAGGAGGACCACTTGAGGCCAGGAGTTTGAGACTAGCCTGGTCAACTTACCAAGACCCCCATCTCTACAGAAAAATGTTAAAAAAATTAGTTAGGTGTGGTTTCACGTGCGTGTAGTCCCAGCCACTTGGGAGGCTGAGGCAGGAAGATCATTTGAGCCCAGGAGTTTGAGATCAGCCTGGGTAACATGGCAAAATCCCATCTGTACAAAAAATACAAAAAAAAAATAGCCGGGCATGGTGGTGTGCGCCTGTGGTCCCAGCTACTCAGGACCCTGAGGTGGGAGGATGGCTTGAGCCCAGGAGGTTGAGGCTGCAGTGAGCCATGATTGTGCCACTGCACTGCAGCTTGGGCGACAGAGCAAGACTCTGTCTCTAAATAAATAAAGAGAAGGATTAGAATAAGGATCTGAATTGTGTAGTTTCTGAATTCAGAAACCTCGTAGTTCTGAGAACTTTGGCCACCAATGGGTTGTGAGCTGGAAAGTTAATGTCGCTCTTTGGCTTGGGTGTTTCCTGAATCAAGTGAGTCCTTTAATTGTGCTAAGGTGAGTAAGGAGCTTAGGGTGGTGCCTGGATCACAGCCAGGCTCCCAGTAAGGGAGCCATCCACAAGAGGATACACAATGCAACTGATTCCACTCCTGAGGTCATACGTGAAGCATTACGATCAGAGGAGCAGAGACATGGATCTGATTCTCAGCCGTGTCCAGTACACACTGACGTGGCCGTCGGCCTCCTGTTTGCCTCAGGAGTCAAGCTGACGCGGCAGGAATCGCATTGCCCTGGGTGCCAACATGCTGTGAATGAGCGCAGTGAATTCCGCTTTGGTTTCCCCCACTTTGTACCAATGATGGTGCCTGGAGTAGTCTCAGTGGATTTTCTCTCATTAATATTTCTTGATCTACCCATTGCCTGTGTAGAGATGTAACAGGACAGGATATTTGCATGGAACTGATCCCTATTAATAAGGCACTTAGAATAGCACTGGGAATGTGTTCGTGTTTGATATGGTTTGGATCTGTGTCCCCACCCAAATCTCATGTTGAATTGTAATCCCCAATGTTGGGGGTGGGTCCTGGTGGGAGGTGATTGGGTCATGGGGATGGAGCCTTCATGAATGGTTTAGCACCATCCCTTTGGTGCTCACCTGTTCTGGCCATGTAACACGTACCTGCTTTCCCTTCGCCTTCCGCCATGATTGACTATTTCCTGAGGCCTCCCCAGAAGCCACTGTGTTTGCTGGACAGCCTGCAGAACTGTGAGCCAATTAAACCCCTTTTCTTTGTAAATTACCCAGTCTCAGGTATTTCTTTATAGCAGTGGGGAACGGGGTGGGGGGAACAGAATAATACGGTGTTTCAAGATCAATAGGTATCAGTTGTGTTGCTTGAATTTTAGACCACTCCCTCTCCTCCCAGGCTCCTACTTCCCTTTCTTGGAGCTGGCATAAGGAAAGGGTAGGGAAGCCCCAGGAAACGCGGATGGACCGAGTGGAGCAGCTTCTTAGGCTCCATTATCCTGGCGGCTCCCTTCTTGGCCTCAGGACTCACCAACACATCTGGCACACAGCAGACGTTTAGTAATATTTTCAAATGAGTGAATGCATCCACAGGGCAGACTCAGAGTCCTGTGAGAAAGCATGAAAGACGGGAAGCAATCACTGCTTTTCTAATGACATAGTCAGTTTCATTAGGAATTTCAAATATCAGCAAAGGAATAAAAGAATGCTAGGTGCAGTTTATTTTATGTGACATTTGTATCCTCATGTTCGAAGGCATTGCCTACATTTTTGGAGAATTTTCTACCAAATTTTCTTATGTACTTCTCAATTTACTTTTTGTTTCTATCATCCCCTAAAGGTCTTTGGGTAGAAATCACTTAGCAGTGGCCCCACAGGTGGTAACGTTCTAGTCTGTTTTGTTCTTATGCCTCCAAAGTAGTTTTTTTGCATGTTGTATATGATCAATACATGGCCATGTATTTCACATGTATTGAAATAAATCCTAGCACATTTCAAAGCAGTACCTGACATTCTACAAGCTTTCTGAGTGGAACTATGTAAGGCAGAAACATTCTGGACTGGAGAAGAAAATATTTTGTGGCAGGGAAACATACTAGAAAATTGACATTAGATCTCAATCCACTGTGAAAAACAAAATAGAGATATTGAAAGCAATTTCTAGTTACTATAGCAACAAGAATAGATTTTTTCCCACTCTTTGTAGATCATGCATATTAGATTTGAGTATCTATGCTATATTTCCATTTGTATATATTCAAATTAAAAAACATTCCCCAATTAAACTTTTCTCCTTTGCTGCTTCCATCATGTAGGAGAAAATAAAACTCATTTAAAATTAGAATTAAATGAGCCTTTAAATTATCAAAAACAGAAAAGCAAATGGGGAAATAGCTTTCAGATGTTTTATTTGCATTGGAAATCTCAGCCAATATTGTACTTCAATTGACCTGTGTTTCCATTCCTGCCACATACATCCTGGAGGCTATGAAAACGTGAGTGCCTCTCCAGCCCACAGCTCTCTCATACCAAATTCTAGTTGCTTAATTTCAGAGAAGGAGAAACCCATGAGCTCGGGCTTCCAGGTGATCTATGAGAGCAGGTTCCTGGTAAAAGACAAGGATTCAAGAAGGGAGCCCCTGAGTGTGTAGGCAATGAGATTTCAAGCAGAAGGAGCAGTTGAGGCTGAAAGGTCTGGGTTTTAATCTGATCTTTGGTGCTTACAGCTGTGTGCTTGTGAGTCTGTTTCCTCCACTGCAAAATTAGATCAATCACCATATTGAATTCAAAATGTTGTAAAGTAGATTAAATGAGATAATGTACATAAATCTCTCAGCACCGTGCATGCCATATGGCAAGCGCTCAATAAACATTGATTAATGTTTGTATTATTAAAATGTAGAAAAACCATGGGATTTCTTCAGACCAAATGAGTACCTTAATACTAAATCATAAATTCCCAAGTTAATACAATACATATATTTACATTGCTTATTTTATGGCAAGTCTGAGAAATATCATGGGCTAAATTTTGAAGATGAGAGAATGCTAGGCACTGGCAAATTAGAAAATTAAACCTCCCATTTCTCACTGAACCTTTTGGAAAGGCAAGAAAATGAATATCTAAGATGAATGTAATATGCTCTGTGACAGAATTGTAACTAGCTCAATGGGAGCACAGACTGGTGAGCTGCTAATGGAACTTGGAGAGTAGGCCTCACTGAACTTCCCATTTCACCTGCACATTAAAATACCAGTGCTGGAAAAAAGAAAAGAGAAAGGGCCTTATACTTCCCGATTTCTAGTGTCTATCCTATTTGGTCATAAATTACAAATTCATAGTTACCTTTTAGTTTTTCCAGCACAAAGTGAAAATTGGATTTGTCCCCTTAAGGAGGAGAAAAGACACCAACAAGGAAATAAGTAAAATTGACTACAAGGTAGACAATAATACACGATAAAGAGAGAAACTAGCAAAGAGCTCAAAGGCAGAAGGCAAGACTTCTGAATGGAGGCAAGATGTGGTATTTGAACCAAGGATTAAAGAATGCTTAGAGTCTCGAGTGGCTGAACGGTGTCAAGGAGGCAGGCAGGAAAGGAACAGATGGACAAAACTCAGACCAATTCATTGTCCTGAGCTGCTTTATCTCCTTATGTGGCAATGAGTTATTACCTATGAGCAGATGTGAGCAATATTACATTAAGAGTACACTAAGTACTCTAATAAAATGAACTTTAAAAAAATCTGCATAGTGCAAATGCTACACTATTCTTACCAATGTATACACCCACCTTTCAACTTGTTCCATAGCTGCACTTAATGTTTCAAGTTGATTAGATCAGAAGGAACAGCTCAAGATAAAGAGCTATTTAATTTTTCAAAGAATATGCTCTTTAACTTTTACCAGATATGGTTTGATACCTGTGTAAGTCTGTTCTCACACTGCTACTAAAGACACACAGGAGACTGGGTAATTTACTTAAAAAAAAAAAGGTTTAATGGACTCCCAGTTCCACATGGCTAGAAAGACCTCACAATCATGGCAGAAGACAAAGGAGAAGCAAAGGCACGTCTTACATGGTGGCAGGCAAGAGAGAACCTGCAGGGGAACTGCCCTTTATAAAGCCATCAGATCTCATGAGACTTATTCAGTATCAGGAGAATAGCCCAGGAAAAACCCGCACCCATGATTCAGTTACCTCCGGGTCCCTCCCAGGACAAGTGGGGATTTGGGTGGGGACACAATTCAAGATGGGATTTGGGTGGGGACACAGCCAACCATATAAATATCATTAGAAGTATTTAGGAGGAATTGGGTATTGTTATAGTATAAAAAGCTAGTGTGAGAAATCATTTAGTCACATGGTCTTGAAGCCCACATTTCATTATTATTTCAAGTTCTGATAATGTAACCAATATATGTAATCCACACACGTTGAAGTCTTTTCTTTATTGTATTTCAAGCCATGCACATTTTGAAGCCAAAGCAAGCTATGCAGAAAACAAGACTTGAAACAAAATATAGCAACTCTGTGTTAGAGGTTTATTGCCTCTGAAGTTTTTGTTTGGCTTTATGAAACATCTAACAACCATAACTTAAGTGTTTGAGATTTTTTTAATAAAAAGTTCAAAGAGTTTGTAGAACTTCCATTGGATCAGCATCAGAATTCAGATATTTCTACAGACACTTATTCTTACAGGAGCTGAATGAACGTCTGTGAATCACTTAAATTACACTGTGCCTTAGTGTCAAAATATATAAAAGCAGAGTTTAGAATGAGCTCTCATATTTTGGGAATATACATGTTTTGATATCTTTTAAAAAGCCTGGTCTCTAATTTGCAGGTCACCATAAATGACCAGTGTACTACATAGGCCAATCAGTCATTTATGATCAGCAGAAATTGTGTAGCTTCTCAACATGATTTAAAAGAATATCTTCCAAAAATCAGTCTCATAAGAATGTGAATTTTACCTAATAAGACACACATTATTCATGAATCTTCATCCTACATATATACCTGATATTTAAAAACATTCTAGATTAAGACAAAAGAGAGACAGGTAAGACTTTGATTTGAAGGGTTTCTTCTCTCAGGGCCCATATGGGATTCAGAGGCAATATGTGCTATTAATTATAGACAACTATAGTCCATTCTAAAACAGTCTGTACATTTCATCTAGTTGATCTTTAAGCTGAAACTAATTACAGAAATTTCTAACCCAAAAGGATTATTTTTTTGCAAAATATGAATAGAGTCAAACTATATTATAACAAAAACATCCTTATAATTAAAATGAATGAATAAGCAAATATATACTTGCGATGACATCATATGCATGCACTTCAAATTATTCATTTTTATTTGCAAAATGACATAGACATTTTCATATCCTGGGAGGTAATGTGGCCTCGGGGAAGTAGCTGGAATTAGTGTTATTTTCTTGTTCCTCCAATGCTGAAAGTGAACCAGACCAATGTGCATGAAGTAAGTGCTTTCTGCCTGGAATGTGACTGAGAAAATCTAATTTCAGAACCTGGAAACTTTTGGTCCTCATGGGATAAGGATGGGTTCGGATGACTCTCCCAGTCTCACTCTATGATGATTTTAGTGCCCTGTAGCACAGAAAGCACTTCCTGTCCATTTTATATAAAAAAGAATTGCCCAAAGCATTAGGTTGTAATTCTTTAGACTATGAACTCATTGAATTTTACTTTTTCATACTTATTTTTGTAGATTAGAGATGGCTGAATTTTTTTTTTTTTTTTTTTTTTTTTTTTGCTGCTTCTCTAAGAAGAAGGGTCTATTTTTTTTTTTCTTCCTTGAGCCAGGGCTGGTCTTCACAATTATTCTTGGCTAATTTATCATGGCCGACACAACAGTCAGGGCTGTCAAGGCAGGGCAAGGCGAAGTTGGCCCGCTTCCCTCCAGCCCAGTCTCCCCAGTCTCCATGGAGTCCAGCTTTTCTGAAGTCTTCACACTACGGGAAAGCCCAAAGTGACCACATGCAGACCCCAGGCACAGGCCATGTGAGACAAGAAACCGTGGGAGCCTTCCTGAGTCCGCAGATGCAGAAGGGAGAAGAGAAGACCCCCCCTCGGTGCGACTGAGCCACCTGACCTCCCCGATGGAGGCGGCGCGGCTGCTGCTGAGTTCTGCCTGCATGTCTAACCCACAAAACCATGACTACAATATACAGCTGTGGCTTCATGTGACTGCAGTCTGGGACTGTTTCTACCATAGATAGTCAGGACACTTATCTTCAGCCAGACCATTTCTCTACTATCCCACAAAAGGGAATATTTACACATCTGACTATAAAGTGCACTTATCTCTCTCTTTTTTTTTTTCTTGAGACAGAGTCTTGTCCTGTTGCCCACGCTAGAGTTCATTGGTGCAATCTCGGCTCACTACAACCTCCACCTCCCGGGTTCAAGCCATTCTCCTAGCTCAGCCTCCCCAGTAGCTGAAATTACAGATGTGCACCACCATGCCCAGCTAATTTTTTGTATTTTTAGTAGAGATGGGGTTTCAATGTGTTGGCCAGGCTGGTCTTGAACTCCCGAAGTGATTCACCTGCCTCAGCCTTCCAAAATGCTGGGATTACCGGCATGAACCACCTTGCCCAGGCCACTTATGTAGCTTTTAGCTGTGATTTCTTGTCTTGTACAAGACAATATACAAATTATTATCACCTTTGTTCTACTATAATCTAGACTTTATCATATAAAGTTGAGTTTTAAAGGCCCAAAAAAGTATTTGTAGAAAATTAATACTATTTATTATTCGTGAAAAGTCATGATTTCTTTTCAGATCAAATTATCTGTCAAAAACCTTATCAAATAGAAAACAACTCATAAATAAAATGTATTTCTCATCAAGTCATTTGAAGTGTATACCAGGCTGGGTATGGTGGCTCATGCTTGTGATCCCAGCAATGTGTGAGGCCAAGGCGGGAGTATCACTTGAGCTCAGAAGTTCGAGCCCAGCCTAGGCAACAAAGTGAGACCCCACCTCTACAAATAACAACAAAAAAAATAGTTGGGCATGGTGGTATGTGCCCATAGTCCCAGCTACTTGAGAGGCGGAGGTGGGAGAATCACTTGAGCGTGGGATGTGGAGGCTACAGTGATCAAGTCACTATACTCCAGCCTAGACAACAGAGCAAGACTGTCAATAAATAAATAAATAAAGTATGAATTCAATTTGCCTCTTAATTTCCTCCCTCCTTCCCTCCCTCTTTCCATTCTTTCTTTCTTTCTTTTCTTTCCTTCTTCCTTTCTTTTTCTTTCTTTCTTTCTTTCTTTCTTTCTTTCTTTTCTTTTCTTTTTCTCTCTTTCTCTCTCTCTTTCTCTTTCTTTCTTTTTCTCTCTCTTTCTTTCTCTTTCCTTTTTTTTCTGGGTGGTCTCATTCTGTCACCCAGACTGGAGTGCAGTGGTGTCATCATGGCTCACTCCAGCCTCAACCTCCCTGGGGCTCAGGTGATCTTCCCACCTCACCTCAGATCCTTGAGTAGCTGAGACTACAAGCACTCACCACCACACCCAGCTAATTTCTATAGTTTTTTGTAGAGACTGGATTTCACCATGTTGCCCAGGCTTGTCTTGAACTCAAATTCCTGGGCTCAAGTCATCTCTGTTAGTTTTCTTAATCATATTGATTTGTTTGTTGAGAACTTAACTTCCCTTGTCTTTTCCTGAATTCTTATTTGGCACTTTCATGTGGGTGAGGTTGACATAGTACTTTTCTCTCCCTGCTTGGTTAGCTTATATTAAAACAGAAACAGTGCTATGAGCAGAGGACCATAACAGAGCAGCTGTGACCAGCAGTTCTTTATTTTGTTTCTGGCAAACAGACGTGTTTCTTCAGGTGCAACCATTATGGGGTAGCTAGAGCATATTTTGTGAGGAAATAGAAGTTTAATTAATAAGAATTAAAACTCTGAATTACTTTATTAATTGAAAGTGCATCATTTGTTTACTTGACTTGGGAATTCCATTTTCATTTAATTCAGTATCTTAAATGCTGGAAGTTCGATGTGAGTGAACGCATCAACTATTGCATTAGCAGGTCAGTTTTACAACAAACTGAATGCTATCAATTTAAAGAAGCTTTAAATATTTTGGAATAAAATGTCAGTGAAGTTTCTAACAGAAAAACCAAACCTCAGTATTTAGATGTAGCAAGCTTGCCATCTACTGATCAGTAGGATTTGTTTAATGTAAAAGGAAATTTTGAATATGAATGTGGCTGCATCTGAAATAGTGATATTAATATTTTAAAGCAAAACGGCTTAACAAGTAGCTTCCTGGTATAAAGCCCTAGGCTGAGCCTTGGGGAAGATACAAGGAGGGTATGAAGCTGCAGTAGGCTTCAAAATAATTAGTTTGGTAGGGCATGTAAGATGCATGCACAAGTTTGTTAAGGAAACATACAAGGTGTCTTGTATACAAAAGGTGGGACAAACAGGCCTGGGACATGTTCTCCACCATCTTCGCGCCCCTCGGCAGCAGCCTGGCACGCCCGCAGCCTTTGCTCTCTGTCTCTCCTGACAAACCCACATGGCCTCCCCAAAGCCCACATTCTAGAAGCATTTGTCTTCAGGTGCTATTTCAGATAACTGTTTATTATTAGTATTTTGGAAGAAGTGCAAACAAGGTACTATGGTAGGATAGTTCGCATGTCAAAAAAGAGGTGCAAGCAAAACACTAAGGTTTGTCACAGCATAACAGCACTCGTTGGCTCCATGATCAACTCCAGGTGCATTGAGCTGTAAATCAAAAGCGGAGCCCATGGCGGGTCCCTGCTGCAGGTGGTCCCTGCAAATTGCTGATGTAAATGAAGTAACATGATCTAGATGTGACTCCTACCCCTGTAGTCTAAGCAGTAAAAGTTCAGATAAATGAAAATAGTATGGCTTCTATCAAACTCTAACGCATTCCATAATGAAAACAAATAGTGCATTGTTTATTCATTTAATAACTCTTCCCCATATATCATAATAAAGAGCATCATAACTAACTGCCAGACATCAGGACAGATATGACTGGCCCATTTTCTACGTGCAAAAATTGAATCTGTAAAAATTAAAGTGAATGATCAAGGTCACGAGAAGCCATAACCCTCCTTGTGTCTTCCAGTCAAGCCAACGCTTTTGCAGACAGCTTTTTGCATGGTTGCACGCAGCTCCATATGCCATAGACAACCATGGTGTACCACGTGTGTAATAATATGCTGTGTACAGTGCGATCTATTTAACAACTTTGAAAAACTACAGGGAAAATGTCTACGAAGTTCATCATAGGATAAGTGACTATTTGAAAATTAATTCAAAAAGTTTGTTTTCCCAAAGTAAAATCTAAAGTTCTTTCCTGTATGCAGAAACTATATAGGAATCCCAACCCCTTAGGGAAGTAGAAAGCATTTTATTTTACAATAAAGTTCTAAATTAGCAAGTGCCAGTTTAAGAAACAAAAAGGTGAGTTTTTTTTCCTTTGTGAGGAACTACATTTAATTTGCACGTCTAATTGATGATGATTCTATAACTATTTTACCTTTTTGCAAGATTATTTATAAGAAGAGAGCATATGATTGGAAAAAAAACATATTGGATCTAAGATGTAGAAAACTTTTCAAATACTATCTGTATAAAATGTCTATTATTGGTATCTTTCATTGGTTTTTTCCCCCATTTTTTCTTCTCTTGTCCATTTAACTGGTTTTATTTTGTTTTTATTTTATTTATTTCTTTTTTGAGGCAAAGTCTCTCTCTGTCACCCAGGCTGCAGTGCAGTGGCATGATCATGGCTCAGGGCAACCTCAACCTCCCAGGCTCAAGAGATCCTCCTTTTTCAGCTTCCAAGTAGCTGGAAGTACAGGCACATGCCACTATACTTGGCTAATTTTTTAAAAATTGTTTTGTAGAGATGAAATGCTACATATCAAGCTGTAACAAGCTGGTCCCGAACTCCTGAGCTCAAGTGACCCTCCTACCTCCCAAAGTGCCTGGATTACAGACGTATGCCACTGTGCTCAGTCCATTGAATTGTTTTTTTTTTTAAATATTGAACTGTTTTTTTAAACCTTTACTCTCAATTTAGGCTAAAAGAAGCCCTATAGAAAGCACTCAATCATTTCTGCAAAGGGGTTTGAGGGTATAAACACACAGTGGGAATAAAAAGTGTGTGTCTATGTGGGCGAAGCGTACTACTGATGCCTCGGTTGGGAGTGTAGCCACGTGATGTTTTATGTAGTCAGCCTTATTCTCAGATGAGGTACCAGGTTTCACTTTTTTAGGTATGTGTACCAGATTCTGGAGTCAGAATGCCTTGTTTAGAGGCTGCGATGGAAGAATCACCAGAGCCCTGGAGGTCAAGGCTGCAGTGAGCCAAGACTGCACCACTACACTCCAGTCTGGGTGACAGAGTGAGAACTTGTCTCAAAAAAGAAAACAAAAAAAAAAAAACCCTAGTTGTAACATAAACTAAATATGTGACCTTAAACAATGTATTCAAACTCTGTGTGCCTCAGTGCTCTCACCTGTGAAATGAGAATAACGCACCTGCCCCACATGGTTGGTGAAAGGGTTGGTTGTAAACACAGGGAGGTACCAAGAACATGTTCAAGACACAAATTAAGGGGCTTACTGTTACTGTGGTCATTATGATTATTACTATTTTGGTGGTTCATTTCCATTTTCTTCTCTTCTTTTGAGATTTTAATTTCATAGGATTAAAATAATTTGATTATCCTTATCATTAGTTTTGTAATGACCTGTTAAAATCTCAAACACGATGAAATATATTTCACATGATATGAGATACAGGAATCACTCAAGGAAGTAAAAAACCAAAAGAGATAGAAGTGATCAGGCTGAGGCTTCACCATGTGACCGGCAGGACTTTTTTCTAGTCTGCTCATGCTGCTATCACAGAATACCAGGCTACAGGGGATTTACAAACAGCAGATATTCATTTCTCACAGTTCTGGAATCTGGAAATCCAAGACCAAGTCACCCAGAGATAAATCTCCTGTGAGGACTGGCTTCCTGGTTCACAGATGGAGCCTTCCTTTTTCACAAGGGCCCCAATCCCCACTCATGAGGCCTCCACCCTGTTGACCTGATCACCTACCAAAGCTCCGCCTTCTAATACTATCACATTAGGGGTTTATAATTTCAACATATGAATCTGGGAGGAGGTGACACAGATATTCAGACCATAGCAGACACGTTTAGTGAATTCCCAAGAGGTGTCTACAAGAGAAAATGCAAAACTTGTATCACTTGGAAGCACCTTCCCAACATCAGCTTCTAAGCCATCAGCTTGTTTTCAGATTTTAAAAAAATGTGATAACTTTGAAACTAATGAGTTTGGACATTTGAGAACACTGGTTTGAAAAAGTGAGACACAAACCTGGCCCCGGCTCCACCAGCAGTGAGCTGCTGTGGTCATTGGCAAGTCGATGAACTGCTCTGTGCTACAGCTTTCTTACATGAAATATTTAAGAATGAATTTGAAGGTGTGGATTTGTTGTTCCCAAATAAAGCCTACTAGTATTGATACATTTCATTTTAAAGAATTATTCATTATTCTAAAAAGAGTTTACAATTTGAAATGCTTCCATTTGCCTATAATGGTGAAGAAAATCATCAAAAATTTCATTTCTAAATTGTTGATTCTATGAATATTTTCTCTCCCCTGCTCTTTACTTCTGTGTATGTATGCAGGCAAATCCCACCAGCCAGCCAACATCCAATGAGAGACAACAGTGCCTTATTAATCCAGTGATGTGGACCTTTATTCTAAAGTCGGTAATGTTAGTTAGCTAGGCAGATGTGAGCAAGGCAGGAGGGCTCCCCAACCCCCACCAGAAATGCCAGGTGACCATCAGGCAATGGTCAGGTGGTTGTTAAATTGTCTCTCTAAAATCATAAGAGGTCACAGCTGATGCCAGGGAAAGGAAGTCTCCTAATAGATGGAAAGCACCTGAAACGTGATCAGCAGCTTCCCAGTAAGATCTCAGGACTAGGAAAGTGGGCTCAAGCATGCACCCTAAGAGGAAAAATGGGGGTGTTTCACTGGTATATGAGCTTGCTCTAGGAACACTGAAATGGTAAAGGAAAAGTGTGTCAAGTGAGTCTGTCCACAATTTCAGTGAACACACTGTTTATGCAGCCCTTCCTAAGTGCTGGCAGCCCACTGCACACGCAATAGCCCAGCCCCAGGGGAAGAATTAGGGGAGAAGAGAGGCAAGATTCTGGAAATATGCCAGTGTATAAGACCCCAAGTCAAGGGCTGAAGAAGGCACTTGGATCCCTCAAGTTACCTACTCGGAAGAAGGCCAAGTGTAATTCCTTCCATTCCTGCTCTGAAACTTTTTAATAAACTTTCTCTCCTGCTCTATAACTTGCCTTGATTTCTCACTCTGCTTTGTGGCCGTCAGTCAAATTCTTCTATCTGAGGAGGCAAGAAATGAGGTTGCTGCAAACCTGTGCAGATTCACTGCTGCTAACAGTAATTAATTTACTGAATGAATAAATATTAGAAGCTGTCCTCACTGGGAGCTCTCCCTCTCTCTCTCTCTCTCTCTCTCTCTCTCTCTCTCTCTCTCTCTCTCTCCCCCATCTATATATCTCTCCCATATATCTATATAGAGATAGATAGATCGATATAGATACAGTGGTCTCTCTCGCTCTCATATACACATAGTATGAGCACACACACACACACACATATATACAGTGTGTACTCAGTTTCATTTAACTCTTTTCCTTAGAAAAGAGTCTATGTCTTTAAGCACCCTGTGGTCTCCAAAGTTTCAAGCAAATGAAACATTAGCACAATAAAAGTGAATATATGTTCAGGGTAAATAATTGGCCTTATGGACTTTCTCACTGTGCAAACATCCACACACCTCAGGATGGAGCAACAGGAGGTGCTCCGAGCTTAGTCAGTGGGTCCAGGGTCCAGTCTTATATGATGATCTTCTGAAGGTCACCACTTCTTAGAATTTTGTTTTTCTCATAATATTTTATCTAATGCTAAACCTACCCTGAAACCTTATGCAAAATGCCTACAAGGCATAGATACCAGAGCTTCTTCATTGAAACATTAATCCACCTTCTCTCTGTTTCTCAATCTGTCTCTCTCCTGCCCTCTCTCTCTCTTGCTCTCTCTCTTCTCTTCCTAGCCATCCCCACTCTCTCTTTCAACTCAGTCAGTCAAAGCAAGTTGTTTATCAACATAAACAGCTTTTTCTTTCTTCACAAATGACAAGATACCATAAAGTGCTGACTACCAATCCTCAACCATCTCTCTACTGGGAAGTTGTGGTCTCACTTAATTTCCTCCAAGCACTTTGCATCCTCATGTCTTCATCAGATGGAGAAGGCTCCCTTCTAAGGAGACTGTTTTGGAGAATGATATCCAATGTAGCCTGAGTTTTGCTCCACCCGCATCAACTCAACATCTGAATATATTCTTATGCACCTCCTGCTCAGGGACATGCCAGGAAATTTTCTCATATCATTTACTTCTTTGAAGATACGAAGGTCCTGGGAAGCACTGTGCTCCTCCAGTGTGGTCAGCTTGGATGTCCCCTCCTGTGAGATGACTGCTAAGCTCTCCTACCAGCTTTCTGTGGGGGTGATGATGACAATGACTATGATGGTTTCTAATTGATTTGTCGGAATTCTGAATTGATGACCTAACTGGATTATATTTGCTGCTATTGTCCTGACTTTTTCACTTTTCTAAAGGTGTCTTTTGATGAAGAGAAGTAATTAATTTTAATGTTTTCCAGCCTTTTCCTTTAGCATAGTGGCTAGTAATTAAAACTGAAGGCATCTGCTGCCTGATGTTGAGAGTTCCAGGATAAGACTGCAGATTGACTGTGCCCCAGGGCAGTCATCCTCTGATTTCCATCCAACGTGCTGGCAGAGGAAGGCAGTGGACTGTCCAGCCAGAAGGTCCACCACGTCTGGCAGGGGAGGAGAGATCTGAGCATGGCAGAGGCTGGACTAACTGGAACTGAGCCGTAAGCCAGAGGCAAAAGCACATTGGTCAAGGCTCACAGTCAGCACACGACAGAAAAACATCCTCAACATGCAGAGACACAGATGTGAATCCCCGCTCTTCAGTGCATTGTTACTGTGAACTGGGTACTTAATACACTTGCCTGAGCCTCTATTTTATTGTATTAACAAAATCCAGATTAAAACAATAAGATGGATGATTTTAAGTTATGACATTTCCTAGCACTTGATCAATAGTTTCATCACTCACTGGGCAGATGGGTGGAAATGTGCAGAAACTGAATGAATGATGAAAAAAATAGCAGAAGTGAACAATATAAAGCAACATAATGGAAATTGAAATACAGTTGACATATTATTGAATTATTTCTTCAGTTTAAAAATCACTCTCTTGAGCTCTCAAACTATGACAATAACATATTTATAGTTTAAAAGATGTGCTGATATATTTCATGAAGATAAATCCTGCTGGCAGTTTTGTGGAGAGAGTGAGAGGTTCACCCCATTTTACCCTGGGAAAGCTGGGGCACACAGAGCTGTAGGGGAGCCTCAGTTTGTAGGGTCAGGGTCCGGCTTTGTTGGCTTGAAATTATACGCTGCTTCTAATATATATATTTTAAATGAACAGTTAAAAACCTTCCACTGTTAGACGTATTTTATTTCAGATATCAAGACTGATTTACATGATGGACAAATTGTGAAAATCCCATTGAAGGATGAACAGATAAAGACAATGTATGTACCTATCTACAATGAAATATTATTCATAAAGGAAGTCTCATTTTCAGCAACCTGGAGAACACCATGCTAAGTGAAATAAGCCAGGCACAGAAAGACCAGGCCTGCATGAGCTCGTCCTGATGTGAAACCTAAGGGAGTCCAACTCTCAAGTACCGAGACTAGACTGCGGTTAGCAGGAGCTCGGGGAGAGGAATGCGAGGAGATGGTGCTGAAGCAGCACAGACCCTGAGCTATGCAAAGTGAGTGAGTTCTAGAGACCGCTGCACAAGGGTGCCTGTCGTAAGATGGGGAGTGCGCGCTCAACCATGGCTTAAGAGGGTCGATTTCATGTCACGTGCTTCTTACAACAGTTTCTAAAAGGATGAATTCATTCTTCTAGAATCACAATTCTAAATAAAAATAACTCCAGAAAAAAATCGTGTTTCCATTATTTTCTTTTCCAGCAGGGGTTGAGACAGGGTAGAGAGTACGGCTGCAGACAGAGAGGTGCACAGCCCCGTTCATTCAGTCCAGGGAACACACATCCAAGGCCCCTGAGTCCGGCGATTCTTGCAGGCCCAGCCTCCTTTCCTGGATGTCGCTTACTGAGGGTCCTCGCTCTCAGGCACGTGGCTAGCTGACGAGTCCTGGAAACGAACCCATTCCGATATCCATCACCTCCCACGGTGTGGTGCAGAACAAACTCCGAAGTGCTGAGCGGGTCACACAAACTCACCTGAACCGGCCACGGCGACCTTCTCCTGAGTTCTTGCCCTCCTACGGAATTCAGTGTTCACCGCTGGCTCCCTGACTTTTCCAACCTTCCTGGTTTTGCTCAAGCTCCTTCCTGTCATAACTCTCTCCTCCTACCTGTGCCAGCACGACCCTGACCCTCTCGCACATCGCCATGGTTTCCTGCACCGCAACGGAGCAAGGCCCCTCAATCCGAGGACGACGCACAGGGTAGGGGTGCCGCTCCCTGGAGGCAGGCGCGGGGCTGGGTCGTGGGTCCCGGTCCCTGGAGGCAGGTGAGGGGCTGGGTCGTGCGTCCCTGGAGGCAGGTGCGAGGCTGGGTCGTGGGTTCCCGTTCCTGGAGGCAGGCGCGGGGCTGGGCTGTAGGTCAGGAGGTGGAGGAGGAGCCGTCGCAGGCGAGAAGGGCAGGGAAGTTGTGTCCTGGACATAGGGCGGGTCTCATCGCTTCTTCCTCTGGCCCCTTCTGTCCGTGTCCTGAATTCTTTTTCTGGCCGTGGACAGAGCGATGAGGTCGGGGCGGCTGTGACCGTCAGGGGAGAGGAGCAGGCTGGGCGCAGCCGGCGCTGGCCTATTCCCTGCTTCCAGGCAGTGACCTGGGGACGCATCCAGAGCTTGGAATTGCGCCAAGGCTCAAGCCCCGCCTCCGCCGTGCGCTGCTCAGGGACCCAGGGCCTGGCGACTTTGGACCTGATGACCCTCAACCAGGCCAGCTTGGGAGCCAGGAGCAGGGACTTCTGCTGAAGGCGGACTTCCCGGCTCAGCAGTTTCTCCTCGGGGTCTGAGCATCAGGTCTTCCTGTCTCCTGCGCCCTTTTAAGGAATTTGTCCCATTGAAACGGGTCTTAGTTTTCAGGATATCCTGTCTGTCTGAGTAGAAGCTAAGTTCTTTGATGGTAGCAGAATGTCTATATTTTTGTCTCGAAATAACTTGCATAGTGACTTGCCTGTAGCAGTCTGAGGAGGGATAAGCTTTGCTCTATGCTCCGGTGGGTGGTAGGATCCCCGGGTTCACAGGGAGGGTGCAGAGGCTCAGGGGTGTGCAGAGGCTCAGGTGGATGCAAAGGCTCACGTGGGTGCAGGGGCTCAGGAGGGTGTAGAGGCTCAGATGGGTGAAGAAGGTCGGGGGGTGCAGAGGCTCGGGGGGTACAGGGGCTCAGTTGGGTGCCAAGGCACAGGAGGGTGTAGAGGCTCAGGTGGATGCAGGGACTCAGATGCGTGCAGAGGCTCAGGTAGGTGCAGAGGCTCAGGTGGGTGCAGAGGCTCAGGTAGGTGCAGAGGCTCAGTTGGGTGCAGAGGCTCAGTTGGGTGCAGAGGCTCAGGAGGGTGCAGAGGCTCATTTGGATGCAGGGGCTCAGGTGGATGCAGGAGCTTAGGTGGGTGCTGAGACTTAGATGGGTGCAGAGGCTCAGGTGGGTGCAGGGACTCAGAAGGATGCAGAGGTTCAGCGGGGTGAGTCACAGGTCCTCCTGACACAAGCAGTGCTAGGGCAGGTTTTGAACTGAAATCCGTCTGACTCAAAAGAACATACCCTTGATTGCTATGTTGTACTTTCTATTTTACAGGTAAAAACTCATTATTTTGTTTTTTTATGAATAAATAAAATCTAAAGATTCTATTTTCATTTAAAATTAATGGTGATAGGAACCTCATGTAGGTGCAAACTTTTAAAAATTATCCTGTCATTATGGTCTGAGAAGTTCCCAAATGCTCATGAGTATGCGTCTTAGAGTATCACACAGTTCAGTCCACATGAATACATGGAGATATAGTTAACCTTGATGTCTGAAATTTCAGAAGTCTGAAATATTTAAGCCAAGTATAATGAACAATGTGGTTTAAAAAAACCTATCCTTTCTATTTAAAACATCTTCTATGCAATACCCAGTGACAAATAATTCACACTGAGAGAAGCTCCACTTTGAATTATGCCAACCAGCTGGAATAAATAAGGAAAAAGTTGACATATCTGACTGTAAATCCAAGCAATAGCATGTGTTTTTCTTATATATAGTAAAAATATGTGAAAGAAAACAGCAGGTCTTTTCCATACTAGTCAGTTACTCACATAAAATATTAGTTGTTCAACTCCTTCGGAGAAATTATTGAGCAAATACAAAGTTTTCAGTCCATGAGAGACTGAAAGTACTTTGGAAAATTGAAGCTAATTATTGAAACCATATTAGCAATTGCAAATGAGATTTGGCTGTGTGTGTATGTGTGTGTGTGTTTTAAAGTAAAGTAGTATTGTCTTATTAGAATTACAAGTAGTTTTTATATAATGTCTTTGTATTAACATTTCAAAAGTAGAGTTAATAGTATATTCCATTTCATATACCCATTGTCCAGTTTGAACAATGATCAATTGCTATGTGCTTGGCATATGCTATGGGAACTTTATGCTCAATTCATGGCCATTTCTGTTTTGTCTAAAACCTGACCATTTTTGCCTCCCCCCAGGGATTTTTTTTGAAGAAAATTTCAAACATTATGTATAATGTTTTCCATATGAAAAAAATTCCATTATATCATTTATATCATTCCCATGATATAAATGAGGAGACAGGGCATGCAGAGGACAGAGCATGCCCCTGGTCCTACAGCTGGTAAGTAGCAGAGGGAAGATTTAAACCTAGCCCTTCATGGTCATGTCCACTTTTTGTGTTAATTATTACAGCTGAATAATGGAACTTGATGCCTGGTGAGCGGACTTTGCTACACGTAGTCTTCGTTTAGAAAGTTGTTTGGGCTACACTGGCTCTTTGGATCTCTATGTGTATGATAGAATTATCTTTTCAAAGTCCAAAAACTCCCTCACTGGAAATTAAACTTGAATTGATTTTGTAAATTAAGTTTGTCAGAATTTCTTATCAGTTTTGAGTCTTCTCATTTATTAACATTTGTTTGTATTTCCTAAGAATATGTTTTTAGAATTTTTACCACAAAGTTCTTAGCACAGGCTGATTTATTTCTAAGTATTTATTATTATGTTTCTAATATTGGTGATATATTTATTTCTGTTGCATTTTTATTTGGTTACTGTTGGTATGGAATGCTATGTCTTCATTTATGGTACTCTGTCCAGCAATCAAAGACCAAACATGTCCAGGACAAAGACCAAATGGCTACCATCAAAGTAAACTTTTCCAGAAAGAAATTTTCTTTGTCTTCCCAAATACTGTCAACATCTCTCTCAGGAGTAAGGTGTCCTTACTGCACTAGATGTGTCCCCACTGTACTCTCCTGGTGGAGGTTTGATGTATGGGGATGGGTGCACACTCCTGCCCGCTCCATCCTTTTTTCAGTTCCAACTCTTAATTCCTTATTTTTAATTCCGATTCCTAATTCCAATGTTTAATTTCAAATCTCCTAGACTCTTGGTGTACATCAATGCCATGTTGCCTTCATAAAGAACTACTCTCTATGTTATCCTTTTACTGCATTTCCATTTAATTTGTAGGATCCTTTAAAGTCTCTGTATCCTAGTACATTATTTTGTTTAGTAGGATCCTTTGAGATTCTTTCTCTATATTGTTGTTATATGTGAACCCTGGCACTATTTTTCCAGCTTTTAGAAGGAGTCCTCATTTTCCAGAACTGTGAGCAGGAAAGACAGTCTCCTGGATTCACTTTTTCCTAATAAAACTGATGTGTTTTTTTTTCTTAGTGAAAAGTCACATAAGATGGATATATGCTATGCAAAAAATAACAATCATATAGACTGACAGAGTAATTGATTCCTTATGCCAGTAGAAGAACAATACCTGGAGGTCCTGAAAGGTAGATTTTCTTGTATTTTCTCTGTATACAGTCACATCTTTTGTACATAGTGGTGCCATTGCCTATTCTTTGTCCAACTTCAAGACTTTTTCTCCGTTAATAAAAACCTCTCATACCATGCTGAGCAGATAGATGAGTGATGGTGACTTCCCTGGTTTCTTCTTAAATGTAATGTTTTTGTTGATTTTCTTTATCATCTTGAAAAAGTTTCCTGGTATTCATAGGCTAGAAATATTTTTTACTATCATAAATGACTCCTGATTGCTATTGAATGCTCCTTTGCTTTTAGATGAATGATCAGATGGCTATTACCATTTAATAAATTATGTGGTGATTTGAGTTGACAGATGCACGGATGTTGAATAATCCTTGCACTCATGATATAAACCCTACTTGTACATGGTGCATTTTTAAGGCACTATTGAATTCATGTCTCTTGCATTGATCATCTAAGAATACATCCATGAAAGACTTTGCCTTTAATCACCTGCACTTGTTCTTTGCTTGCCCAATTTTGGTATCAAGATTATAATTCCCTCAAACAATGACTCCAGAAGTTTTCTCTTTTTTATTTTGTATAACTCCTTGAAATGTGGAAAAGTAGGATATTTAAAAATCCAACAAAATGAAACAATGTTGAAAAGACTCCCTCTCTCTCCCATTTTGGGGAAGGGTCGTGCCAGGCTAAAGCAGCACCTCTCCACCCCACGAACACTGCCCTCTGGTCACCGTATCAGCATGAGTCTAGGACAGAGATACAAGGGTCTTGCAGGTATAACCAAGGTCCTAAGTCACTTGGCTGTAGGATATGGGATTGGACAAGGGTCCTGAGCCAGTCAGGTCTCAGCTGAACCTTTGGAGCATTGTCTGCCACAGATGGGAGAAGAGGAAGTAGCCAGAGCTGAAGCATTTGGGGGATGCAACACTCCCTTGCTGGCTTGAAGAAGGAGGGGCTGCATGAGACTTTGAGCAGCTGGGGGGCCCAGAACGTCCTCGATGATGTCAGCATGGAAAAGAGACCATCAGCCCTACCACCTGAGTGCGGGTTCAGCCCACTCCAGACTGAGTTCAGCTGGGTTATTCACCAGATCCCCGACCAGAGCCCGGCCCAGCTGATGTCCGGGTGTGAGCCTCTGGATTCTCTTAACATAGAACCAGCCAAGCCCCCGGACTTCTGGCCCAGAGATTCATGAGCTAATAAGCAGGTGTCGTTTTTAGCTGCTAATTCTATGCCTTCTTTTTCGTGGTAATGTAAACTGTAGGTGGTGGTTGGGGACGAAGGCAGGCAGGATGCAAGAGCCCTGGGTGACTCGAAACAGCCTGAGGTCCCCCAGGAGGCAGGGAGGCCGTGGAGGTGTCCAGTGCAAAGGCATCTTCCCCGTATCTCAGCTGCCATCAAAGCCTCTCCCCGCTGCCTTAGCACCCCACCTCCAATTAGTCTTCACAGAATTCCCTTTGATCTCACTGAGTCTTTTGCTACAGGACCTAAGTCTGACATCAGGGTTGTTCTCCTGTGATCCCATCAAAGTTTTAGTTCCTCCTCAGCTCTGAATTATTTTCTTTGGACTTCTATACTTGCTTAGTGTGTTGACACTGCAGTATTTGGTCATTTTTGCTTTTTCTTTCTTTCTTTTTTATTTTATCATGATAAGAACACTTAGCATGAGATCCACCCTGTTTACAGATGTTTAACTACCCAATACAGTGGTATTGACTATGGGCCAATGCTGAACAGCAGGTCTTTAGAACTTGCTTGATGAAAACTTTGTAATTTGTAACTCGCCCCTTTCTGCTCCCTCCAGAAACCACCTTCTACTCTGATCCTTTGAGTTTCACTCCTTTAGATCCCTTCATATAAGTGGAATAATGCAGCCTTTGTCTGTGACTGGCTTATTTCACTTAATACGATAACCTCAAGGTTCAACCATGTTGTCTCAAGCTGTAGACTTTTCTTGTTTCTTAAGGCTGAAAAGCATTCCATTGTATGTGTATGCCACATTTTTAAAAATCTATTCATCCGTACGTGATATTTAGACTGTTTTCATGTCTTGGCTATGCTATTGTGGATAACACTGCTAAACACATGGGGGGTGCTGATGTCTTCTTAAGATCCTGATTTCCATTTTGTTAGACAAATACTCAGAATTGGGATTGCTGGATCTTATGTTAGTTCTGTTTTTATTTTTTAGAGGAATGTCCATAGTGTTTTTCATACTAGCTGTACCATTTTGCAATCCCAGGTGAAGATAACAGAATCACGGGGATGGTTTCCCCCACACTGTCCTTGTGGTAGTGAAGAAGTCTCATGAGAGCTGATGGTTTCATAACGGGGAGTTCCCCTGCACACACTCCCTTGCCTGCTGCCATGTAAGATGGGACGCTGCTCCTCATTCACCTTCTGCCATGACTGTGAGGCCTCCCACGCCATGTGGAACTGTGAGTCAATTAAACCTCTTTCCTTTATCAATTACCCAGTCTCGGGTATGTCTTTATTAGCAGTGTGAGTACAGACTACTACGTATGTGAGAAATGTCTATTGAAACCTTTGGCCCATTTTTAATTGGGTTATTAGTGTTTGTGCTATTGAGTTGCAGGAGCTCCATATATATTTTGGAAATTAATGCCTTATCTTACTTATGGTTTACAAATGTCTTCTCCCATTCCATACGTTCTTTAGGTTGCCTTTTCACTCTCTTGTTGTTTCCTGTGCTGTGCAGAAGCTGTTCAGTTTGATCTAGACCTATTGTTTAGTTTTGCTTTTGTTGCTTGTGCTTTTATTATCTATCGTATCTAAGAAATCATTAACATGACCAATGTCATGAAGCTTTTTCTTAATGTTTTCTTTTAGTAGTTTTACTGCTTCAGGTATCACACCTAAGTGTTTAAATGATTTTGGGTTGATTTTTGTGTATGGTGCAAAATTGGAGCCCAATTTTATTCTCCTGCAGGTGAATATACAGTTGTTTCCCCAGCACTGTTTTCTGAAGTGATGTCCTTTCTCCACTGGGTATTCTTGGCCTCCTTGAGGAAGGGCAGTTGATCATGCATGTGTGGGTTTACTTCTTGGCTCTCTATTCTGCGAGGAACATGAGAATTGCCGTAAGGATGACGGTGGAGTCTCTATTTAAGAATTTCACAAATCTCAATAACCAATTTTATTTTTTAACAAAAATATATTGAACTATTTGTATGGGGAGGCATTTGCATATTGATAACTAAAAGTAGATGAGATAGTTCTGGCTTCAAGGAGTTCTAAACCATAAAATAGAGGACAATGTTGGATCTAATCTTCTCCTTATCATAGTTAATCCCAAAGAGAAACATGGCAACAGGTTATGCACAAAAAAAAGCCAAGGTCACCATCATCTCGAGGGTGAACATCAGCAAAGATCAAGCCTGAATATTGGAACACCTCTCCTTGTTTAAGTTTATACACAAATATTCCATTCTGGAAAAAAAATACCAGAGTAAAAATAATCAGTTTATTTATTTATTTATTTCCCCAGGGAAAACAAAATCAGATTGAATTAGGACTCTGAAACACAACATAAAGCCACAGAAAGGTTTATGGAAACTAGGAACTAAAAATACAGCATTTTTCTTCATATCAAGCCCTTTAGATTGATATTTTGAAAGCCCAAGAATGTATAAATAGATAATAATAAGATTTAACATTTATGCAGCATTTGCTATTTGCCAAATTTTCTCTTGTTTTACATATGTCAACATATTTAAATATCACAGCACCATTTTGAGTTGATACCTACTATTATGCACATTTTATAGAAGAGGAAACTAAGACCCAGTAGATTAATGACTCTTCTCAAGACCCCAAAGCTGGCAGGTGGCAGAGTCAGAGATACCCCTAGAAAGCTGGCCTCCAAACAGTGCACTCTGCTTTATGTTAGCACTCATGCAGCACTACTATTTTCTCCAGGAATTTCAGCAGACAGAAAATAAAAAGGTAATTGCATTGCCAGATACATTCATTCAGCATTAACCAGGCATCTCCTGTGTGCCATACATTCTCCTGGAGTCACATTACAGAACAAATGAATCCTATATGGTCTTTGCCTTGATCAGATTCACACAAAGTTATTAAGGAAACAGCACAAATCTTTATCTTTCTGAAATGCAATGCATTCCTTTAGTTCACTAGCTCTGGGCATCTAAACAGTGTAAGAAATGCTCCACACGGATAGAATCCTGTAAGGTTTAAAATGCAAAATTATATTGGAAGAAAAAATGGAAAATTATTTACACAAAGTAAAATCTAACTTGGCAGTCAGCGCTATTTACTTAGAAAGAGGAAATTAATATGCATGACCATCAGATGTGTCTACAGTTCAGACACTTTGCAACCATAACTGCATGTAACAAAGGTTCAGATTGGAACAGGAGCCTGCAAAACATTCCCCAAATAAAAAATTGTAAGACAGACTGACAACTCAAAGGATTATACTTCAAGTGAGGCAAAAGAGTAGGAAAGTGTATTCGTCCATTCCTTCACTGCTATTAAGAAATACCCGAAACTGGGTAATTTATAAAGGGAAGAGATTTAATTGACCCACAGTTCCGCATGGCTGGGGAGGCCTCAGGAAACTCACAATCATGGCGGAAGACAAAGGAGAAGCAGGCATCTTCTTCACAGGCTGGCGGGGTGGATGAGCACAAGCAGGGGAGATGCCAGAGGCTTCTAAAACCATCAGATCTCGTAAGACTCAGTCACTATCACGAGAACAGCACGGGGGGAACCACCCCCATGATCCAATCACTTCCACTCGGTCCTGCCCTTGACATGTGGGGATTATGGGGTGATGGGCATTACAATTCCAGATGAGATTTTGTGTAGGGACACAAAGCCTAACCATATGGGAAAGGTAGTTTTTACTGAGTGGATGAAAATAGATCACCCGATGCAAGGAAGAAGAAGGAGAGTTTCATCTAATAGCATAATGATTGGATGGCTTTGATACCCAGCAAATTCTCAGTAGCTCAGGAATGCAAGGCTGTGGGCAGCAGGACAAGGGCCTAGTTATCACTGGAGCTATTGGTGAGATCACTTGCTTCTCAGGGACGTGGATGGAGGCGGAGGCCATTATCCTTAGCAAACTAGTGCAGGAACAGAAAACCAAATACCGAACGTTCTCACTTCTAAGTGGGAGCTAAATAATTAGAACACATGGACACATAGAGGGGAACAACACACACTGGGGCATTTTGGAGGGTGGAGAGTGGGAGAAGGGAAGGGATCAGGAAAAATATTAAATAACTAATGGGTACTAGGGTTAATAGCAGGGTGATGAAATAATCTCTACCACAGACCCCCATGACACAAGTTTACCTATGTAACGAACCTGCTTTTACCCCTGAACTTAAAACAAAAGTTAAAAAAAATTAAAAATAAAAGGTATTGTAAATCAGTATTTTTCAAATGGTGCACCATAACCCATCAATGGGTTTCGAAAACATTATAGAGGTTCACAACCATCATTTGTTTTTGCGACAGAATAGAATAGATCAACATACAGAGTACTTTAAATAACAAAGGTTGTGATGGTTTGGTAAGATTTTTCAATTATATAAGCCCTTTTGTGTTTATGTATATGTTTATATGATTATATGTTTATAATTACATATTTATATGTATGTATATATTTACTTGACATCACAATGAAAATCTTATTTTATGCTAAGGGTCAAGTTTAACTAAAGTATAAAACAGTACTTTAGACCTTTTTTTTTTTTTTTTTTTTTGAGATGGAGCATCGCTCTGTCACCCAGACTGGAGCACAGTGGTGTGATCTCAGCTCACTGCGACCTCTGCTTCTCGGGTTCAAGTGATTCTCATGTTTCAGCCTCCCAAGTAGCTGGGATTACAGGTGTGTGCCACCGTGCCTGGCTAATTTTTGTATTTTTAGTAAAGACAGGGTTTCACTAAGTTAGCCAGGCTGGTTTTGAACTCCTGACCTCAAGTGATCCATCCACCTCAGTCTCCCAAAGTGCCGGGATTACAGGCATGAGCCACTGTGCCTGGCCTGCTTTAGAGGTTTGTTTATTTATTTATTTATTTATTTATTTATTTTGCATATTCTGAAGATACAGAATATGGCAAGCACATTTTAGGTACTCAAGTAAAATTCAGCACATTTCAGAAAGAATACTATGTAAATGATTATCTAGGGACTGGATTACTGCTCTACAATAAAGTAAACACACCACCAATACACAATGACAAAGGTCATACCAAAATCTTATGCTGAATAATACAAGTTAGGCATGAAGTAAAACATGCTCAATGATACTATCTATATAGAAATCCTAGAAAAGACAAAAAGCTCAAATACAGTACCAGAAAGCTGATCAGTATTTGCGCAGGAGCTGGGAGAAGGGGCATGAGAACATTTTGAAATTATGGAAATGTTTTATTTCTTGATTGACATGTGGTTATATGGATATGAATATTCATTAGAATGTCCCCTCACTCTACACTTAGTATAGGTACATTTAATTATAAAATATAATTCTATGAAGCTAATCAAATGGCTGTTAAAGAAAGTTTTGGTACTGAAATAAACCTATTAACAAATTGGAAGTTCCTTTTTCTTCCTTTCTTTGTTTTAATGCAACTCCTTAACTATGCCAAAAAATGGAAACCCTCCTGAATATGGTAAAATGTTTAATGGTCGTTTGAAAGCATTCAAGGTAACCACAGCCGACACCCTATTTTGGTTGAAAGTTGCCCTTATGAGGCTCATGCTATTTCTCTCACTATGAAGAATTTCTGTTTACAGAATCATTCCAAGCTTCCTGTGCCTCATCCTGCAGGCCACCTACTCATTAAGGCTGAGCCTGGGTGCATCCATCCAGGCTCAAGATCACTCCGGATGGCCCCCCTACCCACCATCACTACTGCTTGTTCAACACAGAGAAAATATTTTGGAATCTCAGCTGCATATTAGTGTTTGTCTCATTACCACAGCCATGCCCGCTCTGTTTGCATTTGGTGATATGGTTGTGGCTCATTTAATATATTGACTTCTCCTTTACCTCTGCTAGCCCTGGAAGAAGTCACTGATTCTCATTGATTTAACTAACTAATCTCATGAATAAACTTCTGTCGACAGCCCCAGTAGCCACATTAAGTCTTCATGCCCTTCCCGAGCACTGGTGTTGCCTGCCAGGGTGCCCCTTCCTGTCCGTTTCTGCACACGCCCAGACTCATTCAGCCAGAGCCACTCCTCTTCTCTCCACCTCCCTCCCCAAGTGGTGTGGTTGTTCCATGAATGCTGCTGACTTGCGCATGGAATACGTGACAGCTCTCTCTCCTCTTCATGCCTTTCCATTTCCCTCCCAATCCTGACTTTTCCTTTGATCAACTCAAGTGTGGAAACACTTTCTACTCTACATTTTCCTTTCAATAACTGTTTTTAAACCTTGAAAATTTCCTTTTATTCTTCTGTTTTCCACGTGCCAAGAAATAACACAAAGAATGCAAACAAACAATGGGAAAACAGAAACCATTCAGTTGTCAGGAACACACATCCTATTTTATGGAATGAAATGTTGACCCCAATTCCAGAAAAAAAAAAAAGAAAGAAAGAAATCCAGTAATCCAGTAGATATTCTTAGTTGGATGGTACTGAGGGCTTATATGTGTGTATTTATAGAGAATCTTCTTGAAATAGCTATATGATGTGATTAAATTTAACGAAGCCTCGTGTAAATAAAAAATGTTAATTTTCATTATAGTAGAACCAAATAAATAGAATTTTATTAAATTCCTCATAGATTATAATGGGGCACAAAGGGGTTGTGCCCGAAACTTACTGTGCTCCTTGAAAAGTTTGGAGAGACAGTGTTAAAATGAATGGCCCTAAAATAGTTAAGAAATCTCAGTCTTGGTGTTTTTATTTATTTATTATTTTATTATTTTTTATTTCTTTCTTTATTATTTTTTTCTTTGAAACAGTGTCTTGCTCTTTCTCCCATGCTGGAGTGCAGTGGCGCATGATCTTGGCTCACTGCAAGTTCTACCTCCTGGGTTCAAGCGGTTCCCTGCCTCAGCCTCCCAAGTAGTTGGGATTACAGGCGCCCACCACCATGCCCAGCTAATTTTTGTATTTTCAGTAGAGACGGGGTTTCACCATATTTTCCAGGCTTGTCTTGAACTCTAGACCTCGTGATCCACCCACCTCAGCCTCCCAAAATGCTGGGATCACAGGCATGAGCCACCGTGCCCGCCCAATTTCAGCCTTATTTCTGACTTCTGGCCCTGGCACTGTGTTTCATATTGAGAAATCTTGATACTGGTTTCTGACAGAGGGTAGGATATACGTCCCATAAGGGTGTTTAAGACAGAGGGGTGCAAATGGCTCTTCTGTGGAGTCTGTTTAGTTTCTTTAGCAAACACATGTAGCCTAAATAGCCCACCTCATCCTTCCATCTGTCAGGCTCTGCTGTTAACTGTGGAGCGGCAAAAATCAGCTTAATGTGCTTCTCAAGACAAACCTAAGAGGCAAGCACCATCATTGCTCCTGTTTTACAGAGGAAGCAACTGAGGCACGACCAGGCTGAGCAGCTTGGCGAAGAGTCCGCAGCTGGTGAGTGGCTGCACAAAGGCCCAGATTCTCCATGTGAAGTGAACCTCTCAGTGTCTGTCCCCCAGAAGCCCCCGTGGCAGACAGCTTCGAATGAACCAGTCCCTTCCCAAACCGCCACCTTGAAACACAGGATGAGGTCTGAGATGTCTGTCTTTCTGATTGCAAGGCAGAAAGTAGTTCAGTGGTATACTTTTTGAAGCTTCCCTTGCACTCTGCCTTGGGACTCACTGACCTGTCCATGGTGCATTCCCTGGCTGTCCTTTTAGCTGGAGGCGCCTCCGTTGAGCCATGGAGACAGGATGCCCTCGCACCCACGTGGGCCGGGCTGGCAACCCAGCCTGCACCAGCACCTGCTCTGCCTGCGATGTCTATTTTCAAATAGCACAGGAACCACTTGGACTAGCGGTGTTATTTTTTGAATTTGTTTTAAAATGATACCAATAGTTAAGCTTAAAGTTGTTATTATTTTTTGCAGATTATTATTTCCCAGAAATAAAAAAGATGCAGCATGATTTTCACACATTTTGATGTTCCTTTCTTGCAATGCTTCCCTGGGTCTGCCATTACCTTTGAAAAGACATATTTGTCATGATGTGTTCTTATTACAGAAGTTACAGTCATTTTTGTTTATGAGACCAGGAAAAATCTTCTCTCTGGAAACTCCACGTTTCAGCCTGTGTTTTGATGCTTGAAGAAGGCACATCTTAATCACTGGGGGATGACACTAGTTAAAACGATATGAATTTAGTGGTCATATTTTCCATCTGTGTAGGGGAAAAAGTGTAGAATCTAATTTGCCTATTTTAATGCAAAAGCTCAGTGAAAAATGGGAGTAATTTACAGCTTCTGTCGAATTATTCATGTTATTTTCTGCAGAGTCAAAACTCCTTTCATTCTCTTCAAAGTCATACTTTTTAAAGTTTTGAGGCATTCCACCGTGATAGTAAATTATACTTTTGATACATGCATATAAATTATATAATCTGCATGTGGCAATTTTAATAACGAGAATCTACTCAGGAAACCCTCTCTGATTCCGCTTGAGAATGTATTTTTCTTTAGATTTTTTTCTTAAGTGCATATAATATACACATTCCTAATCTACAACAAATGAATGCGTGCAAGACCAAGAACTGGCATATCTACGGAAGAGCTCTCTGTTAAATTTTTTAATGAAAATTGCTGCTTGAGCTCCAGATGTCCCAAGTTCAGTCTTTGGAAGTTAAGAAAGCTGCTGGGACTTGTGATCAAGTGCAAGGACATGGCTTCCCTTGAGCTGCAGTCTGGTGTATGACATTGTTGGTGTGGTTGCTACCATGGATGCTGCTAACGTGCCCAAGGAAAGCATTTTACTGAATTCTTTGGTTAATAATGAATCTCAAATTCTCACATTACAATATAAAGAAGTAGGAATGGAGGTCAGGCACGGTGGCTCATGCCTGTAATGCTAGCACTTTGGGAGGCCGAGGCGGGTGGATTGCCTGAGCTCAGGAGTTCAAAACCAGCCTCGGCTACATGGTGAAACCCAGTCTCTACTAAAAAATACAAAAAAATTGGCCGGACATGATGGCGGGCGCCTGTAGTCCCAGCTACTCAGGAGGCTGAGGCAGGAGAATTGCTTGAACCAGCTAGGAGAAGGTTGCAGTGAGCCGAGATCGCACCACTGCACTCCAGCCTGGGCGATAGAGGGAGACTTTGCCTCCAAAAAAATAAAAATAAATAAATAAATAAAAAAAGGTATTTCCTCTATCCCTTGACCAGTTTCTAGACATTCAATTTTGAGTTCTAAATGAACTCAAAGAATGCAATTAAAATATACTATAATGCAGTCTAGAGAATTAAAATGTCATAATTATTCACTGTCTTCCATGAAGGTCAAGTTTAACATATCTTATTTTTTTTCTTTTTGTTTATAGAGAGGGGGTTTCGCCATGTTGCCCGGGCTGGTCTTGAAATCCTGAACTCAAGTGATACGCCTGCCTCAGCCTCCCAAAGTGCTGGAATTACAGGCATGAGCCACCACACCAGTCCTAGCTTAAAATATCTTTGAAAAGAATATTTTCAAGTATGTTAGCAAGTGTTTCTGAATGGAATATTTGTGCAAAGTATATCAGCAAAACGAAGTCACAGTCTTAGCCACATTGGACCTCATTGTCAATGAAGAGAAAGTAAAAGTCATCAGTGTCCTCTACCAATTGCAAAAATAACTTAAAATATTTTCAATGTCAAATTAATTGTAATTTATATTAAGCAATTAATTACAATTTTTTGTTGCAATATTTTAGGTCGTCAAACATTTATCTTTGGTTAAATTACATATGTGTGCCCCTATACTTGGTGTTAGGCAATATTCAGTAGATGAAATTAAACAAAACAGGTTCCTAAATAACTCTATTAAAATCACAGAGACTATCACATCAAACCAATCAATTCGCCAAAAGCATTCTTCCAAATAAGGGGGTCATCAAATCTACAGGGGCATACAAAATAGTTGCAAACCGTGATTCGATAAAGATGACAAAAAGATATTTTTCCATTCACAATCTGTAGTCCCTGCATATCAAAAGCAAATGGAAAATGTAATAAAGGTAGACTGTAACACACTTGGTTTATGAGAACTAAGAACTATTAGACATTGTAAATATCCCTTTAAATTTTGCTACATATAAAATAGGATTGTGGCTGGGCACAGTGGCTCACCCCTGTAATCCCAGCCTTTTGGGAGACTGAGGCAGGTGGATTACCTGATGTCAGGTGTTCCAGACCAGCCTGGCTAACATGGTGAAACCCCATCTCTACTAAAAATACCAAAAATTAGCCAGGTGTGGTGGCGGGTGACTGTAATCCCAGCTACTCAAGAGGCTGAGGCAGGAGAATCGCTTGAACCCGGAGAGGGGGGAGGTTGTAGTGAGCCCAGATCTCTCCATTGCACCCCAGCCTATGTAATAAGAGCAAAACTCTGTTTCAAAATAATAATAATAAATAAAATAGGATTATGAAAGATAACTATCTGTTATTGAATATTAATACTTTGATGCCAGTTGATTGACTTCTGACCATTTATTTATTTTTTTGAAAACCATTTTATTCTGTGCTAATAAGAGCCAGGGAATGATCTAGCCATACAAATGATAAGTAAACCAAAAAGCTTCTTAAGTAGTTTGTTATTTGTGTGCATTCGAATTATCACTGAAAATATGAACCTGCATTGATCTTCCTACCAAAAAGGCCATGCAGTGCACTGAGTCACCTCATTGCCAGCATTACCCAAGCCTCCTCCCGGGGAATTTGGATCTCTTCCCTCACATGGAAGACTCTGATTGCAGCATCTCCTCCCGGCATTATTGGTCAGACCCCCACGACAATCTCGCCGTGAATACAGAGGCATCTCGGAGCCACAGCTCAGCTCGCTTTTCCTCTTACCCTATACCCCGGGTCCTCTCTTATATGATGAAAATTTTTCAGCATTTCTATTCTGAATACATATAACCTTTGGAATTGTCTATTCTCCAAAAACGAAGAGTTTTATAACCAAAAGGTGCTGGATATTATCAAAGTCATTTTTTAAAGGGCCACATAGTCAATAATTTAGGTTTTGTTGTCTGCGTATTAACTGTCACATTAAATAAATAGATAGGACTTAACAATGTAAAAAGAATTCTTAGCCTGAGGGCTGTACAGCAACAGCCTACAGATGGGACCTGCCTTCTAGGACATACTACGCCCACCCCTATCTAAATCTATGTTTAAAAATGTACGTGAGGTTCACAAAGGGAGGTGATATGGGTGATATTATGGAAATGGATTTCTAGATCGTGAATCTTCATATATATTTTTTCCTAAAATTATTCTGCCTGAGTCCCACCACAAACTAACCTTTAACCACATTTACCACATTTCTGGAACATTTCATATCACTATTTTGGCTGAGACAGTACTATGTATTCCGCACATTTTTTTTTCTCTATCACCTCCCTTTGGCTGCTAAATCTATCTAATAATTTTCTTATTTTCTAAGTCAGACTCTGCATTTTTCCAGTTCTATTACTGTGTTGAGATTTCCTATTCATTCATTGAAAGCACAGTTTCTTTTACTTCATTAAATACAAATTAGAATAACCTCTTTAAAATCCTTGTCTGCCTTATTTCAACATCTGAATTTAGGTCCATTTTATTTTCTACGGAAAATATATTCTATTGTGTTAGTTCTTTACATGCCAGATAATTTTGGATTGTATCTTAGACATTGTGGTGGTTAAATTGGGAGGATTTACTTTTGTTCTTTTCATCTTATGCCTGTTGATTATTTGGTTTTATGAATGATAATCTTAACTGAACTTGAACTGAAAAACCTTAGGTGGCGGCTCTAGTCTCAATTTAGATATTCCAGCTTTAATTGAACTGCCTTGAGTTTTTTCACCCATGCATTTTTCCATGATCAGTCACTGACAACTTTTGGAGAGTTTGGGAACTCTGTCTGTATCTTTTATGTACAGGATTTCACCACTCTCTCTAGAACTCATGCATTCCCCAATATCCATTTTCAGGTTTTTCTAGGCAGAAAGGCCTCAGTAAGTTTTCTGTTAGTTGTCTTGCCAACTCATACATGTCAACTGCCCTTAGCACAGGGTTAAATGCCCTTAAAGAGGACCTTGGTACCCTCCTCTTCTAAGTGTGCACTCCCCATCGAAGTTTATAATTTTATCATTCTCCTATGCCCTTAGGTAGCTACCTATAATTCCTTAAGATTTTATCACTGTTTTGTGTAAATAAGTCAGTCTTGGAAAATCTTTCTCCATCTTCTCTGATATCCTCATTTTAAAAACAAAGTAATTAAAGCCATAAAAATTCAAAGATACAGGAAATATCTCGCAGTTATCTATCAGCAGAACCAAAACCAGACCCACGTTTTCTATCACAGTCCCCCATCCACCTTTGGTTCCAGTGATAACTACATGTAACAATAGCGCCTTCTTTCCCCGGTTTAAGAATGGCTCTTGCCACTAACTTTGCACAGGGCATGTCCATGCCTTATTGCTACAGCAGTCCTTCCCGTCCAGAGTTTTGCTTTGCATGGTTTCCTTCTGCGTGGTCTGCCAAATATCTATAAATATTAAATGGAAAATTCCTGAAATAAACAATTCACATGCTTTACACTGTGTGCTGTTCTGAGCAGCCCGATGAAATCTCACACCATCCCATCCTGTCCAACCCAGGACATAAATCATCCCTATGCCCAGCAGATCCACACCACGTACCACACACGGCAGCAGATCCACGCCACGTACCACACACGGCAGCAGATCCACGCCACGTACCACACACGCCTGTGAGTCACCGAATGTCTGTCTCGACAATCACACCTCCTGTCCTGGCACTGCAGTATTCCTGTTCAAGTCACCCTTATTTTACTTGATAATGGCCCCATAGCACTAGAGTAATGATGCTGGCAATTCAGATATGCCAAATAGAAGCCATAAGTGCTTCTTTTAAATGAAAAAGTGAAATTTCTTGATTTAATAAGAAAAAAATATATGCTGAGGTTGCTAAAATCTATGGTAAGTGAATTTTCTATCCATGAAATTGTGAAGGAATCGGAAATAAATCCAGGCTGATTTTGCTGTCACACATCAGACTGCAAAAGTCATGGCCGCAGTGAGTGATAAGTTCTTAGTGAAACTCATGGGTGGAAGATAAGAACAGGAAATGTATTCCACCTGACAGTAATGTTTGTGTCAGAAAGCATCGAGCCCATATGAAAATTTCAGCAAGGCCATTGTCTGCAAGGAAAGCATGGTTGTACAAATTCAGAAGTAAGTTTGGACTGAAAAAACCAAACATTACTGGAGAGGTCATGTCTGCTGATGAAGAAGCTGCTGCCACATTTACAGCAGAGATGAAGAAGTTAACTCAAAAGAAAGAATACCATCCAAAGCAAGACTTCAACTGTGCTGCAACTGGGGCTCCTCTGGAAGGAAATGCCCAGTAGGACCTACATTTCTGAAGTGCAAAGGAGCACCAGGGCGTCAAACACGGAAGGACACACTCACCTTGAACCTGGGCAGCAACATTGCGAGACAGGTGATGAAGCTGGATGCAGGCACAGAGCAAAGAACCCACATGCTCTCAAAAATGAAACCAAAAATTTCCTGCCCATGTTCTGGCAACGTAATCAGAAAGCGTGGATGACAGCCGTCTTCTTTATGGAATCTTTGCACCAATGTTTCACCCCAGAACTAACAAAACAAAACAAAACAAAAAAAACTTGGAAAATGAAGGGCTGAGATTTAAAGTCCTATTAATAATAGAGAATGCACCTGGCCATCTGAATGTGTTGCCTATGAAAATAAAAATGCCAAGTTGTATTTTTACTTTCAAATACTGGCTCATTGCTTCAGTCCCTTGATTGAGACATCACGTGATTTGTCAAAGCCACATTCACCCAGCTGGTCTTTGATTACATGTGACCAGCAATTGGTGAAGACCTTAATGCGGAAAGTTATTCACTATTGCTGGTTCAATAACATTCCTCAAAGCTGCAATGGATGAATTAAAACCAGAAACTGTAAATGCCTGCTGGAAGAACTTATGCAATGACACTGTGAATCCTTTTAAAGTCTTCAAAGGATTGGTGGAGAAGTTAGGAAAATCATTCATGCAGGAAACCAAGTTGATGAAGAGGGATTTGCCAACATACTTGAAGAAGTGGAAGAACATGTTGAGGGCCATGGAGAAGCACTAATGAATGAGGAATTGGAAGAACTTGTTGAGTAATCTACAGAGAAACAGGAAGAGGAAGAAGAAATGGAAGCAGAACCAGCCATGTGGACATTGCCAAAATTTGCCAAAGTCCTTCAAATTGCACACATTAAATGGCAAAATTATGACGTACAATCTCAGAATGGAACACAGCATTAATATCACACTTACGATCAGCAAAAGATTACAACCAGCAAAGCAACAGTTTGATGAGCTAAAAAGAGATGATAACTTCTGATCACAATGGTCTTCCAAAAGGTTTCAGGGAACAATCCTTTAACTGTTGAGGAGCCCCAACCATTGACATTGTCTGCTCCTGGCATCTAAAAAATTGACATTATCATGGCTCCATGATTCTGGGTCATGGAAAGCAGATTGTATTAATCAGGGTTCCCTTAGTCAGGGTTCTCTAGAAGGACAGAACTAATAGGATACATATATAAAGGGGAGTTCACTGAGTATTAACTTACACAACCACAAGGTCCCACAGTAGGCTGTCTGCAAGCTTGAGGAGCAAGGAGAGCCAGTCCAACTCTCAAAACTGAAGAACTTGGAGGCTGATGTTCAAGAGCAGGAAACATCTGGCACGAGAGAAAGACATAGGCTGGGAGGTTAGGCCAGCCTCTCCTTTTCACATTTTTATGCCTGCTTTATATTCGCTGGCAGCTGATTAGATGATGCCCACCAGATTAAGAATGGGTCTGCCTTCCCCATCCCACGGACTCAAATGTTAATCTCCTTTGGCAACACCCACACAGACACACCCAGGATCAATACTTTGCATCCTTCAATCCAATCAAGTTGACACTCAGTATTAACCATCACACAGATATATCATCAGAAGGGCAATGCTAGCTTAACTGCTACCTCACAGTGTCTGTGTCATTCACCCCAATCCATCTTATCATGTAGGCATCATATGGTCTCCTATCAGCACCAGAAGGAGTGTGAGTACAGCACAATAAGATATTTTGAGAGACAGCACATTCTGCATACCTTTTATTGCCGCATATTTTTATAATTGTTCCCCTGTATTATTAGTCACTGTTGTTAATCTCCTACTGTGCCTAATTTATAAACTGTATCTTAGGTCCGTATGGATAAGAAAAAACATAGCATATAGAGGGTTTGTTACTACCTGCAGTTTCAGGCACCCACTGGGGGACTTGGAATATATCCTTCATAGATAAATGGGGACTGCTGTAATGTTAGCTTTCTTTTTATACAAGGTGGATACAGAGGAAAAAGAGTGAGCATCTGTTCTTCAATTATAGTGTTGTTCAATGCTTAATGACTTAGCATTTAGCAATATTCATTTATATATTTTACTTATATATATTTAATATTATATATGTGTATATTTGTGTAAGTATATATACATGTACACAACACTCATTTATATAGTTTAAAAATGCTTTTAAGATGCTGTAACACAATCATAAAAGTGGAAGGTCAGACAATGATTTTAGTGTCATGGGTGAGGGTTTTGGTAAAATGTGCACCTGTAGAAATAAGATAAAGCATTTGTTGTGTTTAACATGGTGTTTGGCACGTCGACACTTATTTCTGACCCAGACACATTTGGTTGGTGACACATTTGTTGTATGGAATTCAATTAGTGCTTCCTTACACCAGGTAGTGATTTAAGAACCTTCTCTGTCGATAAAATTTAGGTAGATAAATTGGAGAAGACAGGACCAATTTTCAACAGTGTGATCATTTATAATGTTCCCCTGGTCAACATTTAAAAACAATTCTAAATATAGATACCAAGAATACTCATTGTAGCATTTTAGTATAGTTTTAATCATAAAGATGCCCAGCAACTGTAAGAACACAGTCCTGATTTTAGTAAGTATAATTTTTAAAGTTTTATGTTTTAATAAAGATTTCTTTCTTAATATTCTTTTGTCAGCATTTTATATGTATATTTCATATGTATATTCATAAGCGTAACCCATTTTGAAGATGCCCTTCTATCATGTTAAATAATCGTTGCTTTCATTTTTGACAATTCCTTTAAAATATATATATATATTTCTAAATATATATACATATATATATATATATATTTCTAAATATATATACATATATATATATATATTTTTGACATGGAGTTCACTCTGGTTGCCCAGGCTGGAGTGCAATGGCACGATCTCGGCTCCCCACAACCTCCGCCTCTTGGGTTCAAGCACTTCTCCTGCCTCAGCCTTCTGAGTAGCTGGGATTACAGGCATGCGCCACCATGCCCGGATAATTTTGTATTTTTAGTAGAGATGGGGTTTCTCCATGTTGGTCAGGCTGGTCTTGAACTCCCGAAATCAGGTCATCTGCCCACCTTGGCCTCCCAAAGTGCTGGGATTACAGGCGTGAGCCACCGCGCCTATAACTTTAATTTAATTTAATTTAATATTTAATTAAAATATTAATTAAATGCTAGAGAATACTGGTGTTTACTATTGGCATAATGACATTTATTAATAATTTCATTAAAAGTTCCATCTTTCATTTTGCCTGAACATTGCATTAATGGGAATGCTTTATTGGTATTTTAGCATTTCCTTTTATTGGAAACTAACTGGCATGATAAATTTGCCAAGGAAATTTTTAAAAAATCAAGTTGAAATTTTTAACATGTTTGAAAATAAGAGTATTAAAATGTCATGACAGCTCTAGACATTTTGAGAGCATTTACTCTAATATTTCATATCAGTGTAGTGACAGAGAGTCAGGAGCCACCAAGAACCACTGAACATATATATCAGTGTACATACAAACATACAAACGTCTATTTTGTAAATATATTTTATCTGAGAATTTCAAGTCAGTTTCAGAGTCAGTAGACTCGGCAACGACTGAGCCCTATCAAAGTCATGAGCATGACGCCTCTGAAGAGGGCTTAAGCCCATCTGATGCGGGTAATGGGGCATTTCTGAGTTGGCGAGTGGATTCAGCTAAAATATCTGGTATTCGTAGGCATTCTGTAAATGTCACTTCTGTTCTCCTTTTCCGCCTCCCTTCTCCGCACACACTTACATCTGCCCACGTGCCTTCTGGTAGCAGCCTGAGCTCTACCAGGTACATGCATATTAACATTGGACCTATGTCATTAGAAAGAGTCCTCTGGAGAAGCAGCCCCCATCCCAAGATAAGAAATCAGGAAGGACTTAAGAGGTGTAGAGAAGTTCAAAGCCTGTGATGTTCTGCTGTGGCTGTGACAGCAACAAATGAAAGATCCATCAAACTGGACTAATTAAATAGATTAATTAAAACTCAAAATAGATTAATTAAAACTGCCGTGCTGAAGGCCTAGCAAACGAACAGATGAATCTATTACAGGTATAAAAACAACTCGCCCCCATTTCTATTGGACTAGACCAGATGCTCAGATTTTAAAAAAAGAAGAAAATTATGGTTATGCAGCATACCAAAAGGAAAGTGTAATGGCAGACTGGTAGACAGAAATCACCAAAATCAGACTCAAATATGACAGACAGTGCAACTCTGAAAAAGAATTTAACACAATCAAATAGGATGTTAAAGACTTTAACAAACAAGGTAGACAATATGCAAGATTAGATGTGTAAGAGTGGCAGTGATGGAAACTACCAAAATGACTAAATGGGATTCCAGAAATTAAAAAACAAACAAATGCACACTGTAACAGAGACAGAGAATGCTTTTGAGAGCCTCATCAGTAAACATAACTGTGGGGAAATAAGTTATCAGTGCTCCAATAAAAAGACTCAGCTCCCTGAGAACACTTTACTTTTTACTTTTTACATACCATGAAGATCTGTAGACATTTCCTTCGTTAATTGCCTGAATCTAACAGGATAATAAATCAACTTCTCTCTCCCCAGGAAGCAAATAGTTGCAACTTAAGATAAACTCCTAAGTTAAGCTCCCAAAGAGGCAGGGAGACTAGCACACTCCTTCTCCCTAGTCTTTTACACTCAAAATGGACAAAGCTTTGGCCCCTAAAGCCATTTCCGAGTCATAAAGCCAGAGACAGATGGGCTTAGCTAGACCCTGGAGAGACTTGTATACCAACAGGCTGGATAAATGTTCCTCCTATTACACCTTGAAGAAAATACTCTCAAAAGAGGTTAGGGGAATAGACTCTTTGAGGTTTACAAGTGGAGAAAACCTATTTTTATCTGTCCCTTTCAGTCTGTAGACTGAAACCCACTGCTCATGTAAAAATTTCTCTGTCTGGTTCTCACTGCGTGTCTCTGTGGGTTTGCTGGGCCTTGCGAAGTAATGATACAGTGCTACTTAATAATACAATAATACAGTGCTATTGATAATACACTGCTACTAATAATACTTAATAATACAATGCTATTAATAATACTTAGTAATACAATGCCATTAACCTGGTTGTTTCAATAAAGAACTCTTTTCTCTGACCCTTGCATTTTTGCAATATCTATCTATCTTATTGTCTATGTGCTTGTCAATCATCTCTCTGTAATCTATCTGCCTATTATTCCAGTGGGAAAACATCTCAGATTTTTCACAGTTTTAGACAGTGTGATAAACACGCAGATGAAGAAAGAGCTAGTGAACTTTTTCAACAACTATGAAAGGTCTAATATAGTACATTATCTGGTAGCTTGTAAGTTGCCTGTCACATCATGAATATTTTCAGAAAACATTCAGTTCTGGGATCAAAGGCAGTTTCTCACTTGTGGTGCAGCACACAGCACACCCCTGTGTCCACGGCAGCTCCCCTGCAAGTCCCGCTGGCGTGAGGCATATGGCAACCCAGTGGGATGCTGCACACACAGGGCTGAGCATCACAGTCAAGTCCCTGGTGCAGGAGGACCAGGAATGTTACAGTGGGTTGCAGGGCCTTTGTTGAACTTTCCCTAGAAGGAAAACACTGTCTTTATGCAACGCAGCAAACAAACCTACTCTTGGCTCTGAAGTGACACTGTCTCTGTCTCCCAGGACTGTTCCTTCTAGAAATATCCTTGGGAAGACATTTCAGAGCAAAAGTCACCGGCATAACGGCCACTAAGACGAGCGAAAACGTGAGAGGCTGAGGGGGATGTCTCTCAACAAACTTAAAGACAACTTTAGAAAAATTACCCAAACTGGGTCACAAACAGTAAAAAGAAAATGAAGAAAAAAGCAAGAGAAAGGAAGGGCATCTGAGGGCAGTGAGACAGTCTTGGTCTAGGATACGGGTAACTGGAATCCCAACACGAGAAGGGAAGACAGTGAGGCGCAACGAATTCCTGGATAATTGATGGCCACAAAGGTGTAGATCAAAGGAGCTTTGAAAACATCAAAATGGGGAAACATAGATCAATAAATCAAATAAGAATCCAAAAAACTCCACCTAGGTATATTTTATTCAAATTGCTGGAACAAAAAGCAAAGAGAAAATCCTGAAGGTGTGTGGAGGATGACCAACAAATAAAAAATACATATAAGACAAAGATAAGAATTGTAACAGACTTCTCAGAAACCTTTCAAGCCAGAAGACCACGGAAGACTCCTTTTAAGTTCAAACTGTGACCTAAGGAATTTAACTCCATGAAAATAATCCTCAAAAAGTGAAAGGGAAAAAAAGAGGGAGAATTCATGGCCTACCAGACCTACACTATAAGTAGTGTTGAAGAAAACGTTTCAGACAGAAGAGAGAGGCTGACAGAAACTTCGATCTGCACGAAGAAATGATGAGAAGTAGGCCGGGCGCAGTGGCTCATGCCTGTAATCCCAGCACTTTGGGAGGCCGAGACAGGTGGATCACGAGGTCAGGAGATCGAGACCATCCTGGCTGACACAGTGAAACCCCGTCTCTACTGAAAATACAAAAAATTAGCCAGGTGTGGTGGCAGGCGCCTGTAGTCCCAGCTACTCGGGAGGCTGAGGCAGGAGAATGGCATGAACCCGGGAGGCAGAGCTTGCAGTGAGCTGAGATTGTGCCACTGCATGCCAGCTTGGGCGACAGAGCAAGACTCTGTCTCAAAAAAAAAAAAAAAAGAAATGATGAGAGGTAGAAACAGAATTACAGATGGCAAAATAAAATCTAGGTTTTTTTTTTTCATTTTACAAAGCCAGATTTGCCTTGAGACCAAAGCCCAACAAGGATACTATAAGAAAAGAAAGGTATAGATCAACATCTCTGATGAACATAGATATAAAAAGTCTCAACAGCCCTAAAGACTTTACTGAAAAACTGTTGGAACTAATTTGTAAATTCAGTAAAGTTGCAGGATATAAAGTCTATACACAAAATTCAGGAGAGTTTTTATACACTAATAACAAATTAGATTCCTCCCCAAAATTAAGAAGGTAATCTAATTTACAATAACTGCAAAAACATGGTAATAAATTTAACTAAGAAGGTGAAAAATCTCTACATTGAAAACTATAAAATTGATGAAAGAAATTGAGGAGGGCACAAATAAATGGAAAGACATCTCATGTTCATAGATTGGAAGAATAGATAGTATTAAAATGTCTATACTACCCATAGAAATCTATGTGTTTTATGCAATGTCTATTAAAATTCAGTGACATTTTTCACAGAAATAGAAAAAGCAATCTTAAAATGTATATGGCATCAAAGAAGACACTAAATAGTCAAAGCAATCTTAAGAAAAACAAAAAACTGGAGACATCACATTTCCTGATTTCAAACTATACTACAAAGCTATAGTAATCAAAGCAGCATGGCCCTGGCATGAAAGCAGACACACTGACCAATGGAACAGACTAGAGAGCCCAGAAATGAACTTATTTATTTATGGTAAAATTATTTCAGACAGAGATGCCAAGATGACATTATAGGGAATGGACACTCTCTTCAATCTGTCTTTCAAATACTGGGAGCAGAGCACAACCAGAGACTATAATAGGGCCGGGGGTGCTGAGAATCCCCAAATCAAGTCTTGTCAGATACAAGAATCAAGGTGTAGAAATAGGTCCCCATGTACACTGGTCTATGCAACCTGTGAGAATCCTGCAGGAGTTCTGATCTATTCTTCAGAGATTTTAAGTAAGTGCCTTTAGCTTTGGGGGGCTTAAAATATAGATCGAAAGGGGAAGTCATTCAATAAAACCAGTTCCAAATTTTTTTTAATCCTATCTCTGGAAGTACAAATGATATAACACCTATATTTGGAGTTTCTCTGAGTGAAGAAAGGCCCTAACACTCTCCTCTCTCTCCAGGACACACCTGAAGGGTCACTGTGGTAGGCTGTAACATTCCTCACATGTACCATGAAGCACACCTCATTGTGGACCTAACATGTTTATTTTCCTAGCTTTAGTTACAGTTGCTACATTTATGTATCCATCAACTATCTATCCATCAACTATCTAGCTGTCATCTATTATCTATCTATTAATCTGTTATAACTTGCCAGTGTTTTTTATTTTATATTCTACTCTTGAATGAATCCAAGAAATTATAGCTCTGTTTCAGCCCCAGTCAAATACACAACTGAAGCTCCCTGAATGTGTGAGGTCCAGACCACATGTGTGACTATACATAAACATCTTACACCGAACATTTTGCCAAGGTTTAGCACATTATTTGTCATCAGATTTTCTTTAATATGAAACCACTAGCAAAACCCTCTCTTATTTGGGCTTGTTTAACCTATGTCCAATTGTCAGTTCTTGAACAAGCTAGAACTATTTCCCCCCTGAAGGTGAGAAGAACATTCCTGTTGGGAATCCAGAGACACTCAACTCTTACCTTCATTCTGAGGCCCTGGTCTTACATGAAGACCACTAGGGTTGGTGCACAAAATTAAATTACAGCGGTAGTCTGTCTTTTTCTGCTTTTATTCTTGGCTTTATGTGTTTAGAGGTGCATAATATAATATCTAGGCCTATCGCACACATTACACTCCAACACAAGACAAAAAGCCACAGCTAATATTTGTCAATTATGCAAACATTCTATACGTTTTGAAAATTTTATGATATTGTACAAATTTCTTCAAAATTGTGCTATGCTTGTCACTGAAGTCAACTTTCTCCTTAATTAAACTGTCTTGCTACTTGTTTCTGCTCTTAGAATTATACTTCTTCTGAATTAGATAGCAGGAAAATATTAAAGAAAAAAATGAAAAAAAAAATAACAGTATAGAACGTACTTACCTCAAATTTTCTGTGACCTCTGCCTTGAATCCTGTCCCTTTCCACTAAAATACATCATAAGTAATAGTCTCCCAGTTTCCCACAGCAGGAGCTCGATTCCAGACAACATTTACATAACATTGCATCCCTCACTGGCCATGACAAGAGCAGGGATTTTTTTCTCATCCCTCCTAGATGACAATAATGCTGCATACTCTACAGCAAGCCCACTCTGACCTTTCTGGTCCTGCTTGAATAATATCAGGTTGGTGCAAAAGTAATTTCTGTTTTCTCTGTTGCTTTTAATGATGACAACAGCAATTACTTTTGCGCCAATCTAATGTATATCTTGTGGTTGAGATTTCCAATCACAGCAATTGCTCTGCTCCATTCGCAATAAGTCCACTCAGACACCTGCACTTACTGCTCACTAGAGAGAATGATTCTTGCTCAAGGATTTCCATTAATGTCATTCTCAGTTGGAGGTTGACAAGATCTCCAAAACTTTTTTCCCCCAACTCTAGCATTTTATCAATCTGTTTTACAATTCATCTGAAGAGTTCGATCTTTAAATGGCCTGTGATTTGTATTTCTGGTTAGGGATAGAGGCCATTATTTTTTTCTGGACCTCTGCATTACCTGATATGTCTGACCTTAACCATGAGGATGTATCTGGAAGCTCTACCCGAGCAGTGAAGCTACTCACATACCATAAAGATAATGCAAAGTTTCTATCAATATGGAAATACTTTTTTTCTCTTCAGTCAGACTGATTGGTTTAAGAGAGGCACACTGGGAGACATGACAGAGAGATGGGACCTTAAATCACCCAAATGGGTCAACTATTTTAATAGCTGTATTTCCCACCTTCCACTTTTAATTTCATTCATTAATTCATCGAATACCTTCTGAATATAGACATGTCCATTAACTGTATTAGATACAGGAGAAGGAGATGAAAACAGAGTCCCTGTCCTCAAGGAACCCTGTTATGTCAGTCAACTCTACATCTCTTTATAAAACCCGAGAATGTCTATAAAAGGCTCGTAAGTTACAGATACTTTCCTGGGCCTTGTTTCACACTTTCTAGTCTTTTGAGAATTATATTCTAAATCGAGCTTGTCCTACACGTGACCCAGGACAGCTTTGAATGCAGCCCACCACAAATTCATAAACTTTCTTGAAACATTATGAGATTTTTTGTGATTTCTGTTTGTTTGTTTTTTAGTTCATCAACTATTGTTAGTGTTAGTGTGTTTTATGTTGTGTGGCCCAAGACAATTCATCTTCTTCCACTGTGGCCCAGGATAGTGAAAAGACAAGACACCCTTGTTCTAAATGCTTAACAAATATCAATCATATCTAATATTTCTTAATGTTATTTTCAAACATTCTGTTTTTGATGTTTATGGTGTGGAGGAAGTTCTACAAACGTTGCCAGCAGATAGAGCCAACAGTAGTTACTGGGACTTTTTACATGGGTGAAATTCAGTCAGAGAAGAGAAAATAAGTGAAATGATACCACAATTATGTCTTCTCAATACCATATGAGAAAATGGGAATTGTCACCAATGGCTTTGCAATCAATCACCTGAAGAAATGTGAGTGCGTGGCCTTCAGCTCCACTCAGTCATGACCACACTAGTTCTGAGCAGTGAGTTCAGAGGGTAGTAGTGTTTGAATGCTAAGAAACAGCCATAGAGGAGCAGTGTCTTTTAGCCAGTGCTATGTTTCAATAGACATTCGTTGGTAGTCCTATTAATTTGATGTTGTTTACAATATTCACAAACATATTTTTTTCCCTGAAAAGCAATTGACAGGCTTCACCAACTCCCATAGGGGTCTGTGGCATACAAATCTTACTTGCCTTGGTTAAATTACCTTATATTCCTGTGCTTATCTTCAAATAATTATAGTAATGTCTATCTCATTAAATTTGTTATGAGGATTATATGAATCAATACACACATGGTGCGCAAAGCAGCTTGTGACTCACACTGTGAATTTAATGTGCTCACTAATTGCTGTGACTTCTTGCATTAGACTCTCCTGGGCACGAATCTGAACTCCATTATAAACCATTGCATGATGTTAGGTCATCATGGACTCTTGTGGATGTTAGTGTCCTAATCCACAGGAACCCAGAACTGTCAGGAATCCTGACGGAGGCAGACTGAAGCTCCGAGAAGAAGAAACATGAATGCACTTTTTAAGTGCTAAATAATTGTATGTTTCATGCTGTAATTTTCATTGTTTGTACTGAATAATAAAATGCAGAAATAATCTCAAAGTCACTTCAATGATTTTAAATTTCTACTAAATCTAAGGGATGCAAGACGGAAACTAGCTAGGAGTCACCTGAAAAGGAAGAAAAAAAAAATTTGAGATTAACTTTACCCATTTACTACTCCTAAATACATAATATATAAAATTGAGCTATGATAACTGCTTCTGTTCAGTAACTGACTTAAAAATTAGCCAGGCACGGTGGCTCACGCCTGTAATCCCAGCACTTTGGGAGGCCAAGGCGGGCAGATCATGAGGTCAGGGGATCGAGACCATCCTGGCTAACACTGTGAAACCCTGTCTGTACTAAAAATACAAAAAAAGTTAGCCGGGCTTGGTGGCGGGCATCTGTAGTCCCAGCTACTCGGGAGGCTGAGGCAGGAGAATGGCATGAACCCGGGAGGCGGAGCTTGCAGTGAGCCGAGATTGTGCCACTGTACTCCAGCCTGGGCAACAGAGCGAGACTCCGTCTCAAAAAAAAAAAAAAATTATAAGTTTTTGCTTCTCATTCTCAGTGTCTCATGCAAAAAATAGGACAGGTCATCACAGATAAATGAGTTGAAATTATATATTTAAACTTAGTTACAATTAAAAATGTTAAGAAGTAATATGTTCAGTTTCCAACTTGAAATGAAAGCACATCTTCCCTGTTGTTAACTCTACCTACGATTGAGTAGGAAAACAAGCACAGAAAAATGCCCCAAATCCATTCCTTTAGAGCTGGGTACTGCTATTCCTCAACTCATTGCATGATGTTTGAATTTTATATTAAGATTTAGGTGTAAGTTTATTTTAAGTAGCATTTCACTATTTTTTTCACACTACATACATAAATTTAAGAATTCTTTATGATTTCTAGGCTTAACATAGCCTATTTTTTTTCCAATGTCTATTTCTGGAATACATAAATTGAGATCATTTTTGATGTCATGATCTGGAATACATAATTGAGATCATTTACATTTTATATGATGGGTTGAATGGCAATTTTTCTAAGAAACATCTTTAATTTTACAGTGATTTTTAAATCCTTATTCCAAAACAATATGAGGTCAGGCCAGCTATACTTGGTTCCTCTGAGGAGAGCTGAGGGGGATAAAAATATACACAGTTCACAGGTCTCATACCATATAAGCATAATTTTTAAGATCTTTAGTGGGGTCCAGAAATATATATTTTTAAGATATTTCCAGGGAAATTCTTATAAACATGCAAGGTTCCTGGCAGTTCCTTCCCATCCATTAGAAGGGAACACTGCACTCAAGATTCCAGTATCCACAGGCATACTAAGTAGGAAAGGGTTAAACCAATGACGTGACTTACCCCAATGCATTAAGTTTCTTTCTTCCCAGATGCCAAACACACACACACACACACACACACACACACACACACTCTGAAAGTGAGATGTGTGTTGCTTCTGGTGCCTCTATATTGTTAACCTGTATTTATTAAAAAGAATATTTTAAAATCAAGCCAGATGACACACCTGTTTATATGATAGGGTTGTGATATAACATAGTAAGGACGGGATTAGAATTTCTAACCTTTCATGAGAAATGCTCAAAAGCATTATTTTTGACCTTTAAAATAGAGAAGGTTGTATACCCCACAATATACAGTAGTATTAGAACGTTTATTTTCACCCATATGTCCTAAGGTAATGCATATTTTTTTCAATGAGCATGTTTTGTTAACATTGTTGGTTCTCACAGACACCTGTTTGCTTAGTGGATGAGGAAGATATACCCTGTTGGATACAACAGAGCGTATAATGGTAACCTGTGGTAATGAGGCACCTCCCTCCAGGACACTTACCTGTGAATTCATCCTCACTTTGGTCATAGACAAACCGCCGCTTCTGTCAGTGTTGGCAGGTCAACACTTGCACACACCAACCCACACACACACGACACTCTCCCATACCTCTGGCACTTTAGCTTTAAACTTCACGATCATGTTGAAGTTATGGTCTCATGCATAATAATCTGACATTGAGGTGATTTTGCTTAAAAAAATTGTTTTGGGTCCTATGCTTCCATCAGAGGAGAGAGCATTAATCACACTCTTCAGCAAATAGGATGAGTGCATTTATTTGGCTCCAGCGTGGACGAGAGAGTGGGAAGAGAGCAGCTAAAGGTGATAAAACATCATTATATGTGATTATGGTGAAAACAACTAGAGCCAGATATTTAAATTATCCTTTCTAATACTTGGAACAATTCCAGAAAATTGATGTATTTTTCTCTGCCTCTGAGGAGCTTAGAACTGAGAGGGGGAGATAGTGCTACTTCAAATAGCAATAAATGCAAATGAGAGAAACGAAACCCTGTAAGCAATGCCTACGGCAGCTGCCCAGGGCCCTCGTGAGACCCTCAGGGTTCCTCAGAGGTCAGAGGTGGGAACCACACCTCAAGCCATGCAACTCCGTGTTGCTTATTTGCTTTGTTCCTTGGCAGACTAAACAGGCAGTGGGAGTAAAAGCAACACCCGCTCCTGAAGAACCAACTATCAGAGTCTTCATCTTTCCCAAGGAAAAGCATGTGAGTAGACACTTAAGATGTTTTAATTGCTGTAATTCAGGTACATATTTTTAAAAGTCCAATATTAATAGTATCCTGGACTTTTAGGAACCTCCTCTGCCTGCCACTGCTGTTTTCCATTTCACGGCAGCAAGTGGCTTTGAAAATGTTAGCTGCTTTTTCCGTATTTACTGTCACCTTTCTAAGTAGACTGTTTACCCGGGTCTATCTTTACTTTTCAAGTTCAGACATGTCACTGGTTTTCTGCTGCCCCTTTTGGCTCCATTCCACGTGCGTCCATACAAACCGGCTGCTGCACCTGGAGGCTGAGCAGCCCACAGCTTCATTGAGTCAGAGCCCCGTCTACACCATCACGACGGCAGTGTGGCGTCTGCACAGAGGTGAATTGCTCCGAGTGTATAATGACACTGATTTCATTGTACACTGTTTTTTCTTCTTTCCTCAAGCTCATTGTCTCACGTTCATGTTTAATGAGTGTCCTATATGATTGTCACTCATTTTGACAAAAATCTCAGAAAAAAAAGAAACAACAATATAAACCCCTCCTGACTTGATTGTACACACACATCTGAAAATTAATCTGCTTCGTTTTTTTTTCGCTTTGCAGATACGTTTCTCTTGGCTTTCTGCTGTACTCCGGGCTGGCTGTTATCAGCCCTGCTACTGTGATGGTCAACATTGAGTGTCAACTTGATTGGACTGAAGGATGAAGTACTGTTCCTTGGTGTGTCTGTGAGGAGCATGTTGATTTGGCAAAGAACAGTTTGGTAAATTCTAAGAAACGGGTCATTCCAGGTCCTCTAAGATAACCTGGGTACTTCTCTTGACCATTATCCAAGGCTTCTTATCCAAGGCTTCTCCTGGCCTTTGTCTAAATGGAAAACAGGTGTTTTCAAGGCCCACACAGGGCTTCCAGGGCACAGCAGGACACTGGGTAAGCGGGAGATGGAAACGTCATCCCTTATGGTCATAGGCGAGTTTGTGGGACCCTAACACTTTGAAGCCATGTGATCACATCACCGTCATATTTTAAATCAGACCTGCCTATTTCCACCTCTCAGTTTGCCTGTCTGAACATTTCTGTTGTCTTTTTTTCTAAATGTCTTTCTTAACACATTGGTTTAATACAAACAATTACATCTCCTGGGCACCCATGATGCATAAGACAATGTGAGATATATATATATATATTAAATGCATACTTTATTACTTATGTTTTATTATACATATTAAATTGTATGTACAGCAGGCCTTCAATAACCAGAAGACTGTATATATTTATTTTCATTTGTTATATAGTCTACTATATATTATACATTTATACGAAATATTTATATAATGAAATATTTTATAGTAATTGTATGTATATAACCTCTTGATTATAAGGCTTTGAAGAGGGAGCACCATTTTGCCTGTTTCTCATGTGTGAGCAGACGGACTCAGAAGGCACTGGTTCCAATCCAGATTTGCTGTTAAGCACAGCGCCCTCCACAACCATCCATGAAGTGGAGCAGAAGAACTTCCGCCTTTCAGAGCAAGCCTCCTGGGATTCATTGATTTTGTAATTCCTTGCCTCTATTTGTGTTATAATACATTGAAACCAAAGCTAGCATTTCAAAAATCAGGACCAAGTATTTTAGTTACTCGGGACCAAGAACATAAAGTTCCAGTGAATGAAATTAACATAAGGACAGAGCCGTTCGACCAAGAAAAAGAAAAGGTTAGTCATATTTTAAAATTTGTATCTCTTTCAAAACACATTGTTTTTGTTTTTTGTTTTGTTTTGTTTTGTTTTTGGCAAAGAAACTATAGGTGCCTGTGCTTAACTATTTAAGTGGTAAAAATAGAGTTTGGTGGTTTGCGGTGGTACCACTGGCGGCAGGTGGGATGCCTGATTTGAAAGGTGTGTGTTCGCCGCCCATGCCCCTGCCTGGGCTGTGCGGAGGGTGCCCTGCAGACAGCCGCACCCTGAGAGGGACCTTGACAGGTACACAGTATGGGTTTGTCTTCTTTGAAAGGCCATGGAGAGCCCTGGTTGGGGGATGCAGTAACCCTGGGACTCCATAATAAAGAGCTGTGCTGAGATGAAGACAGATCCGGGTTCAAATCCTGCCTCCACACATCACTGGAATAATTGAATAATTACATTTGTGCTTTAAACCTGCGCTTCCCTGTCAGCGTTTGGGCGTAGGAGATTCCAAGTAAATAACTCCTGGGCTGGTGGATACGATGGTTACATCGTGCCTGTCACACAGCTGGCACCTGGTCAGCCCTGAAGAGTGCTTACAGGTGTGTGTGCAATTGCACGCTTGGGGTGGGTCTGACCATGACAAGCGTGTTGGAGACAGGAGTGAAATCTCGAGAGTTAGCACAATCTGTCATAGCACAGAAGCTGATCGTTCACAACATTTGAAAGTATAGTTAAGCATTTATCCTGTTCAATTGTACAAGCATGAACAGAAACAAGAATACAGAGCACCTGCTACGCAGGGGTTTCCATCTTATTCTGTGCCGTAGAACCCGCATGTTAGAATCTCCCATCGTAAGAATCGTCTTCCTGCTACAAGTAATACTAGGCAGGTCATTTAGGCTCCTGTGCCCCAGTTTCCTATGAGAAACAGGCACAGTTACATTGCAGCCCCACAGGCTAGGGGGCTCAAGGATTCAGAGCTTGCAAAGTATCTGAGAAACTTCAGCTCATTCACGTTAGACATTAGGATGCCTGGTGTTGCTGCAGATGGTGTGGCCCTGTCGGCCACCTGAAAATCATGGATACCGAGCATTGGGGAGGATATGGTCCTCAAAGATATGGGGCAGTGTGGAAGCAAATAAGATTCTTGTAATGACAGGCCCCTTAACTCCCTGTCCACACACACATTCCCTGAACTGCCTGTCTTTCCCGCTCACATGTCATGATACCCTTCTGAGTGGGACATGTGCACCTGGGGCCAGAAGGGTTGCTGGAGGCAGTTCTTTGGTTTTCATAACAAAAGAACCATCCATCCGCGCTACACACTGAACAACTGGGCAGGCTGCACACACCTCTGGTTAAGCTCCCCAAGTAGACAGGCGCTCCTGGGCTGCAGAAACTCATTTATAACTTAGCAGGGATTTCTTCTATGAACAGCAGGTGAGGATTTTGTTTCTAACACATTTCACGATGCTTAAGAAGTATTTGCAAGTGCAGGCATGGCCTTAAGGAATTTAGTCCCCAGCAGAGATCCCTGGAGAATGACAGCTGAGATAAGGCTGTCCGAGAAAAGAAAGAGGAAGGATTTCCTTCCCCTGCCCTACAGTGGAGCTCTTCTGCAAACGTGACCCTTCAAGGAAGACAGAGAGAGTGTGAATTAGCAGTGAATTCTGCGCCTGAAGAGCGAGACAGACCCTTAAGAACAGAGTATGCACCCAAGGCGGGAGACACCCTCGAGGTGAAATATGAAGACGCAGCTCCCTGGGTGACCCTGGCATGCATCCCCGAGGTCATGTGATAAAAATGCTAAAATTCCCACTATATTCAGGGAGGCACTATTTAGCCTATTATTCACATTTTTACATTTAATATCTTATTTTGGTATTTATCCTGACAGCTATAAAATTAGATGTTTTCATTGCTTTTCATGCTACCCTTAGTCTGTGCCGCTGGCAAAATTTCTAATACTGTAGTAAGCTGAGGAAGAGGAAGACTAGCTTAAGCGGATTTAGCCCGAGCTTGCTCTTGGAGAACTTGCTAATTTAAAGAATTAGCAGGAGAATGTGAGTTTTTCACATCTAGGTCACCCTTAGGAGCAAGGTCCGTCTTTCTAATAAGGAACAGTGGATTAGTCATACACAGCCTGTGGGAAGGAAGGGGCGTTCTCAGCCCATTGCATAACAGAAAGACAGTCCAAGTCTTGGAAATCAGCAATTAGCAGTTCACATCGCGGACTCAGCTGGCCTGCCAAGAAGCCAGCATGCCCAATAGTGAAATAGCCTCATTTTCAGACGGCCTCCCGAGGGACCCCGTGGATATCACACTGTAAAAATGGCCCCTCTTTATAAGGCACTTTTCTGCCAACAACATAATGTAAGTACCAGCAGGTAATTCTTTATTAAATGACCTGTGCATCTCTGGGAAGCACGTACCACAAAGGAGATGGTTTCTATGAGATGCAATTTATGTTTTCCGAATCCTCATGGTAAAACGTCTCAATGAGCATTAGGAGTCCCGGCAGAGCTGCCCGTGATACAATAACACAATCGTTCCCTTCATCCTTCTGAGATCCCTGTGGGTGGCCTGACACAGCTGTTTCCTTCAGGGCAACAGGGTTGCTTTTTCAGCCAAGTGACTGGCTAATTTAAAATACAAAAGAAGATCTAAGCTGAGTAGAAACCCAGCAAGACCATGGAAAATTAATGCTGAGACCCCTTAATAAACAGGGAAAAACGTCGAAGTACCGTTATTTCTCTAAGTAGGTTAAGAAGGTTTTGAGCATCTATTTTGTGCTGATTTGAACACTGGGGCTATAAAAATGACAAAAATACAGAGATTGTCACCATGCCACAAAATAGAACAAGAGTGTGAGCAGATAGATAACCAATTATAACATAATATGGTAAGTCCTGTTACATAAATATGCCCATAGAGAGAGGCTTGGGAACATGAAATGGTCAGGCATTGGGAAAGGCATTTTGTAAGTGAATTTTGAGTCATATTTAAAGGGTGGATATGTTTAAAGGGAGACAGGTAAAGGCGTTTAAAGCAATGTAGGCAATATGACAAAAAATACTTTTATAACTATTTCTGTTAATAAGGAAAATGAAAATATGCACAGGATTTCACAGAATGTTTGTAGTATAGATCTCCTAAATGATGCTTTGGTGTAACTTTACAGAAAAGTAGGTAAGGAGACGTTATTTTATATGTTTTCTCAGGATGTAGTGTTAATCTCTGGATTAAATAATGATTTGCACAAAGTTTTCTAGCTGAAAGTAGAATTTAGTTGACTACAAAGATTTCTACTAAGTTTCAGTTGCATGGCAAATTTAACATACTTTAATACATTCATTTCTCAGAGGTTCTTAAAGGAGATATTTATATTAAATTTGCTGAAATCCTTAATCAAGTAGGAAGGCCACATGTAGTCACACAGGAAGCCATTGGCAGAAAGTATAATTGCTTATTTTTATGGATATGAATATGTGGTTATGAATATATCAGTAGAAAAGGTAGCCTGGGAATTCATAATTAAATGTAAGAAAATTCTACCCAGAGGCTAACATTGGAATTATTAAAATACCTTTCAAATTTTCCTTTTAATTCAAAAGTCCTTCTGAGAAAACTGGTTTAAATATTTAATGGTCTTAACAAACTTAACCTCAGCCAAAACGTATTAAACTTAAAAAAAAAATGCATTTCCACCTGTCCCCAAGAGACTCACTCTGTGCTTCAGATCATATGAAGAATGTGTAAGGCCTGTCTGCGGTCAAGTGTGGTTGGTTATAAATCTGGCTGGGAAGAGTTTGGGTGAGTCCATGTTTGAAGAATACTTGATATTTAGTGAGCGCATGGTGTTGCATTTTACAAGTTTGCTACTTAAATCCAATCTGTTCAATGGGCCAAGGATAACAAAGAGAAGTAGGAACAGGGTAAGTCATAGTATGAGCCCTGCTGGGTGCAACCTTGGCCAGGCAGAATCATCCTGTGGACACGTGCCCCTGTGTCCTAAGATTTTCAATTAAATGGTCTCTGTTAGGCCCCAGGTATCAGGACTTTTGCAGGCTTTCTACAGCATTCTAACGTGCGGCCTGGATTGAGACTACTTCCCAGAATAAGACAGCGCCTGGCCCCACCTCTCCAGAAGTTTGGAACCATGTAATGAAGAGACTACATCTTAGAATTTCATAATTTAACTCTAGGCTGGAGGTCTCTCTTCATGTTCTTCCCCACAACTTTCTAACAATATTAACGTATGTATGTATCACTTCATGGTTTACAAAATGCATTCACAGGCTTTATCTCACACAACGCTCTGACTAATTGATACTATATCAATTACACATAGAAGACAACCGAGATGAACTTAACCAGACAATCTATCATTCATGATTCGAGCTTATTCAGTACATGCGGTCAGTGGTTGGAAATGTTAAGTTGTCTGCCTGAGATAATGACTCTACAAAAAAAAATGGAAGCCAGGTCATCTCATCTCAAGTATGTTCTTGTTTCTCTTCTCACCTAAACAACTTTTGGAAAACCACAATGCACTTCTGACTTGGAGGAGAATGGAACGATCAAGTAGCCTAGCTCCACCCGGGAACGGGGAGCAGAGGAACTGGGTTGGACACATGGGAATTAAAGTCCCTCAATATTCTGTTTTACAGGAAGCACTGTGGCTCTTGTCCATAGAATAGATAAGTCAGCAGTGCTCACACACACTCTGAGGATTCCACTGTAACATCGCAGATCACTTTGCATTGCACCTATTTATTTTTACGTCTGGTTCACTTTACTGTGAGGTCTTTAGTCTCTGTCGTTCACACAACCACTCAGCAAACATTTATCTGTGCCAAACATTAGACTAGACACTAAGGATGCACAGAATTATAAAAGAATTCAGGAATGAAATATACGATTATGATAGAATGTGGTGAATATAACAGTATACGCATGCAAAAGTGGTAAGGGTTGTGATCCTTGGAAAACACAGTTTTGATGTTATTAGCATCAATTTATTAATATTTGCCAAGCATGTGCTACTTTTACTTCTGGGGAAAAGTCGTCTCTACCTCTTCTTAGCTAAATAAACTGGACGAGGGCTCCATTTCTGTAAGTGTCACTCTCTCACGGATATGGAACCCACGATACTGTTTCCTACTGTGCTGTGTGAGGACTGTAAGGGAAGGCCCATAGAAAACAAGAAAGTACTTGACACAAGTTTTTAACACTGTTAATTCATGAAGAAGAGGGAATATTTTCATCATTTTTCTAACAACTAGATGATCTGTATCTAAACATGAAAGAAGCTTACTTTATTCACCACTGCAAAAAAAATAAAACAAAGCAAGGTCGAAGAAGTATTCTCAAGGTGGTGTATGTGCGTAGTGCCCTTGGCTACTGAACATGGCTGATCTGGTTTCTGCCTCACACACCATGGTCCTGAACATAATGAGAGTCAGCTCCTAGTGGCATCGTGTTTGGATTAGACTCCATTAATGTTCCTTAAGTAGCATGACTTTCAATGACTGCTTCATAACGTAAGCAACTGAATTTATAATTGAGACATTGTGTAATTTACCTACAAACATGAAATAAACCTAACATCTTTTTGAAGAGATGCTGATATGAAACCACTGATTCAATTGCTGTTGGCCAAGCTTGATTTGGGAATTCTTCTAGGTGAAAGAAACACAAACCAGTTAAATATTTTCAGTCTCCAGCCCCAATCTAACAAAGTGCCTTTATTGTGAGACTAGATGACCTCTGAAATGTCAGGGCCCACAGCCCACCAGCAAGAACCTGAACAGGCACAGAGATAGAGGAAGCCACCCAGATTGTCTACAACACACCCCAAAGCTTCCCACTCTCTATTTCCTTACCCAGCTTTATTTTACGTTATGGAATCTTCCACCAAGCTGAAAGCATGTTCCATGTCTGTAACGGTGTGTGATGTTTATTTATTCTGCCTCTCACGTAGGTGCCATGACAGGGAACTCATCTCATTCACACTGTGGCCCCAACATCTAGGACAATGCCCTGTAAATACTGGAACCCAATAAACATTTATTGAATCAACAATGAAGTTGAACTGGTATCCTAAATCATAATTTAGAGGTTGGATTCAGAGGTCCGTGGCTTTTGATATGATGGCCCATTTCTCGCCCACACCCAATGAATTGAAGGAAGAAAATCTTAGAACAAATTGACAAATTTGATTCAGTTTCACAGATAATGTCGTCCCTTAACTTTCTTGCATAGTATTTCTGTTCTTCACTCGTGCAAAGCTCCCAGAGTTTCCTGGACTTTTCTGCCACCATGAGCAGAATTGTTTCTTTCCTTGCCATGAGCAAAGAAACTGGTATGGGCTCTTTCTCTGCAGTTCTTGAGACTGTCGGAGTAAGATGAGGAAGGAGTGAGACCTTCAGAGAGTCACAAACCTTCCCCTGCATTTTGCGTTAATAAATTTAGTCTCACATATGGATTAATACTACCATTTTCCAGGCAATGTTTTACGTTTTTGAGTGTTTATTCCTGACAGACATTAAGAAATATTTCAACATTATGAAGAAGACTTGATGAATTGTAGACATTGTATTCATTTTCAGAGCTGAAAAATAAATAATGCACCATTGGTTCACGGAGGATTTCCTTGGATGGTTCTGATGAAACCCTCCCTCTTCAGACTCCCGTGGCACTGATCAGGTTGAATTCACATGTAAACACAAATCTGGGCATTGCTATGCTCCAGCAGCACTAGAAGGGGGAAGAGAGAAAAACACTAGGGTGGGAAACATTCCAGTTGGGAAGGATGGTGGAGACTGGGAAATCTTACTGTAGAGATTTTGAAGAAAACACAAAATCTCAAAGAAGGAGGAGGCTTGAGACTGTGACTATGAAGAGAAGAACTTTGAAAGGTTTAATTTGTTTCTTTCCCTCTGAATTGGAGAGCAGGATTTCCAGGGATGACCACCCACAATGTGACTGAAAAATATTAAACCTGAACAGGTTGGCGAATCAGGAATAGTGTAAGAGGTTCCACAGCATTTCAGAAACATTAAATTAGACGGTACAAAAATCCATCAGGGAAACCCTATATGGCTCCAGTCACCAGCCAGCCCATCACTCATTTTGTAGTTTACATGTGAGTATAGTCATTTGTCTGGCAGTCCAACAATCTGGGAATCCATTCATTCAGAAAACGTTTATTGGACATCCACTTTTTGGAGCAGACAATGTCAGATTAGCCTGGTCCTACACAATTTGTTTCTAAACCAAAGAATTTCCCGGTCTAGAAAAGCTGCAGTTGTGCAAATTAAAAAGTGTGGGTTACAGTGTAGGATCACTTAACCAAGCAGAGTCATGTCAACGAGGAGGAATAATAAGGGAAATTTTCAAAGATGAGATCAATGATTAAGGACAGCCTTAAAAGTTATTGTCCAGGAAACGACTCAAAGATCTATCAACAAATAAGTGGATTAAAATTTCATAACATAGCCATACAATAGAATACTATTCAAAAATAAAAAGGAGCAAATTACTGATATCTGCAACAACATAAATAAATCCCAAAGTAAATAGAGTCAGTGTAGAAGCTAGACACAAAAGAGTGCCTTACTGTATAATTGCATTTATATCAGATTTAGAAAATGCAAAGACACCTTTACTGATGAAAATAAGATTGTGGTTGAAGAGGAAGGAAGACGGGTATGAGAAAACGATTTTGGGGTGATGAATATGTTAATTTTCTGGATTTATGGTGAATACATATGTAGAAACTCATAAAGGTATATACTTTATGTTTGTGCCATTGCTACAAATCGATGAAACTTAAAAAGGCAGGAAAATAATACCCAGAGAAATTGTAGCAAAAGTAGTAGAATTGTATCTTTGAAAGCAAGGAAGAAGAAATGTTCAAGAAAAGATGTTTTACAAAGTTGTATGGTCCAACAAGATTGTGTGCAAAGAACATAGAATGCATTCCACTGGATTTTGTATTAAGAGGTCTTGATGTCAGTGTGTTGATACATTAGGGGATGATGAGGAAATAAAGACAATGGCAATTGACTTATTTAAATCTGGATTTTAAAAGTGAGGAATAAAATACTAACTAGAAAGAATGTTGCATGACTAAGAAAGATGAAGGTGATTTTGTTGTTTCTGCACTGTTAGGGTAGGGCGCCTGAAGGCACCTATAAACTGAATCCAGCAGACGTGGAAGAGATGAAAGCACAAGGAATGGAACACAGACAGCAGTGACTTCTGACAGATGTTAATAATAAAGGACGCTGTGAGGCAGACATAAAGAGATATGATTGTTCTTTTGGAAGCATGAAATGAAAGAAAGATGAAGGGCCATCTCTTTTTTTTTTTTTTTTTTTTTGCCCAAAACCTCAGCCCCAATTTCTGTTTACAGAAAAACCTGTGTGTGCCTTTTGGATAAATGTAGTTTATAGGGAAAGATTATTGTGTACATGGAAACCATTATGAAGAAAATCACTGATTTAAGAACAACAGATGCATGTTTACTTACCAACATTTCAATAATAAATTCCATTTTAGCCCAAGATGTTGATGGGGAAAGGCAGTGGCTTAAAAGCTAAGGGTAGCTTGAAAGAGAAAAATGGAATCTCGTGATCCGATCAAGCAGGGGCCTCCAGCACAGAACAGATTCACACGGGGGCCAATCCCACAGGAACAAAGCTCCCTCCACAACCCGGCTCAGTGACTGGCCTGGCATCAATCCCACCACCAAACTATTCTAAGCCAAGAAGACTAGGGATCTCCAACAGGAACTCTAATATGTGAGAGCATTTTGAACTAAAGTCTTAAGTGTGTTAGACAGTATTTTTCTCTATCCTTGTAGAATTCCTTTCTTGAGAACCTTGCTGCTGTTTATGCCAGAGCAGACCTGGCGGGGAGCTTGCACCTGCCACAGCATTTGCTTGTATCTTCTGCACACCTGAGGCAGCGTCGACACAGACCACAAGGTTTGGGGGCTTTCCCGTCCTTCATTTGCCCTGGATCTCAGGAGACATTACAGTGAAGTGGCTCTGGGGGGAGAGATAGAGGAGAGAAACACAGTAAAAGAGAGGAAGAGAAGGAAGATATTGTTACTGGTGCCTAAATAGCTTTTGGGGAAAAAATAGTTGCTATATAAGACATAATAAGGTATAGCAGTATTTTGAGAAGTTTTCTGTATTAACATAATAAATCTTTGGTTGGAATGCTTACTCTAGGGGTTGCCAGTTAACTTTTTTGTCTGTTCATATAATTTATACCTCTTTGTGTATAGAACTATTGAATATATCATTATTTGTAAAGCTGCTTAAATGTCCAGCTCAGCACATTGCATATATACGAACATAAGTGTTCAAAGAAATAAGTGATTATATACATACACACAGAGAGACATATACATATGTATATATGTCTGTGTGCTAGAAAAAGAAATATAGTGGTAAAGATCATACCTGATTTAACTTCAGTTTTTCAGAAGTTAGCATATAATAGATGTTCAGTAACTTTTGAAAGACTTCAGCATTCCTAAAAAAATTTCATTTTTAAATTCAGTAGTCACTTTCCCTTTCATATGCTATGTGAAAAATGAATAAATATTCTGAAGAGCCAAAAGAAAAAAAGAACAAAAACAGGCAACATTTTTAAAAAGAGAAAGGTAAACAAAACTACTGTCAAAACACACCACTGTTTACAATCACTAATCCTAAATGTTAATAGCTCTATTTCAATTTTCAATACCATTGCATGTTTGTGAGATTAAATGTGTTCCATTTTATGCCCATATTATATAATTTATCATAATGACGGAAGACTAAATGTTTCACTTACTTTGCAAAAATTATCATACACTTTAAGAAATACTTTCAAAGCTAAATGCCACCCACAATTACTCTAGGTCTTCTTGGGGCCCTAAGAATTTCTGCATAAAATCTCATCAAAACAGTGATTTGCTTGGCGTTTGTTGGCATTTTTTCTGAAAGCAGCTGCAGAAGGTGCTACCTTTTGATGGTATGAGACGAATGTGCGGGTTAGAAAATGAAATCAACATTCTTCAATAAGGACCTGTTAGGGAGCCAGGTTCGTAATTGAACAGGTACTGCATACTTTCACCGTGCCTCATAGCCAATAATATCTTCAAAGCTTTGAACATCTTGAGAGAGAATTTCTCTGGAGCTCATTGATCTCCAAGTAAACATATTTTAAAATGATTCAAAGTTAGAAATGCTTTAACTCTTTTCCTGATCCCACTCTTATTTTATATTTTTGCAAGGTATTTAAAAGTTATAAATATTGAAAAGCATCTTGGTGTTTGAAATATAAATTATTTCTATTAAAACATTTTTGATGCCTTAAAGGAGAGTTGAAATACTGGATAATAAACATTTTTTTCTATTTTCAAAAGTCATTCCAAAAACATGAACACTTCCATCCCAACGTCAAATAACTTCAGAATCATGCAATGATTAATAGTGTTGCTTTGCTCTCAACACCCTCCAACAGTTCAGAATTCCTCAGTCACGTTTCTCTGTGCCTTGTAGTTGTTGACAGGGAACAAGTTTCAATCACAATATTGTGTAGTGATTTCTCATCATCCGGTACTTCTTTTAAGTCACCAATATAATTTTGAGCAGCCGGAAGCTGTATTAACGACAAAAGATTACATGGGAATATTATTTATTTATTTGTTTATTTATTTATTTATTTATTTATTTATTTATTTTTGCAGTCCAGGAGATTAAAGATACAATTCAGATGAACTGTTACAAGGTAACTCCATGTCAACAGCTGAACTCTGATCGGGTCAAGGGATACATTGGCAATGAAGGGTATGTAAACATCACGTTTCCTCTGCAGGCAGAGATGGATGCATTTTAAGGAGGAAAATTAATTCATACAAAGTAGAAATACATAGGAATCATAAAATCCAGAAGTAGGTACACAGGAAGAGGAGACGCTTTGCTATTTCTAAACATAACCATCAACACGAAAAATTCTCATAAGGGAATAGTGATAAGAAAAATATTCCGAATTCAGGATAATGAGATATCTGTCATTATCATGTCAACTTTTCATGTCAACGTACACTCAGAAATGAGTTGTGACCTTTTTGAAGATAAATATGTCCTGCTGTTCCTCCCTCAGAAAATCATAAAGCTGACAGCCAGAGGCCTGGCTGGGGAGTGGCTCCTGTGGGGCAAGAGGTATCCAGCAGGAAGAAGGCGAAACCCTAACAGCCTCCGCTGGAGGCCAAAGCCAGCTTTCCTAGCTGGGAAAAGCACATCCAATCCCAGCACACGCTGTTCTGTAACAGAAAATCCTTCCCGTGGACTTTGTGCTCCCAGTGGTAAGGAGCACAGATGGGCTGGTCCTATGCAGGGTTCCTGTTCCTGCCCATGGGTGTGTCGAGGTGATGGCTCCTCTTTTCCCCATCATCAAACACCCAGAGCCCCGGATCAGTTTTCCACAGCGCAGGGTGGAGAGAGGGAAGGAGAAGGCCGCTGTTCATCACCCTGGTGCCTGGTCCCCTGCACCGGGCAGAGGCCTCTCTTCCACCGGGAGCCTGGCCCCGGCCCCTTGGCTCGGTCACTGAGAAGTGCCTAACACAACCTGTCACCCACGCTCTCCTCCAGCATCCCGAGTCAGCCACTCACAGCCATTATTCTTTCCACGTGAAACTGTGAAATGAAGACATAGAGGGAGTGGAATTAAAGAACGGGCTATTAATAGAATTACTTTAAAAAGAGTTTCACTTTAATACAAAAATTGATTTCATTCAAAAAGGTAATAATGCACATTAAAAATTTAAAAGTATCAAAAGATGTACGATTATCCTCGACATTTGGGCACCCACTTTACTGCCTCAAAGTCAAATATTGTTACTAATGTTTTATGTATTATTAAAGGGTTAATTTTAAATATAAATAGTAATTAATTCTGTCGGAGGAATTATAAGGTTTTTTTTTTAAAAAAATTACTCATTTGGAAGAAATGATTTTAATCTTTCAAAAGGAAGCTTATAAAATATTGATAAAATGATATATATCCTAACATTAAATACATGGATATTCTATAAATATATGTGTGAATTTATACATATCCTATAATTATCCAAGTCTAAATGAGGAAACATTCAAGATTTTTATTTCACCAAAACGGTTTTAAGGGTTAAATTGTACTGTAACGATTAAAGTACAGAAATTATGTGTGTTAAAACAAAATGGAAATGGCAACCAGGCCTGAAAAATACCTGGGCAAACGAAACCACTGAGGTTTTAAAGACACAGATTTTCTCGTTAGTACAACTTTTCATTCATATCAATAATTCATAGTTAAATAGATCTTTACATGTTCTCAGTCAATATGACTCCATCATATGAGTTCATTGTTGACATTTACGTGTTTCAAGAACATCATAATTATTGATGGAAAGAGACGACATAATTAGGAGGCAAGTAATTTTGACATAACTACTAAATCTGAAATTTTCTATGAATAGTTATGTGACCCAAGTCTCAATTTCATACTCTCTAACATGAGAATGTTGGACTTAACAATTTACTGAGCTTTTTCTAAAATCCTATGATGGATTGGAACACATTTCGAAAATATAATCAAAAGGAATTATTTTACAAAAATGCCACATTTAATATAGCAATTAGATCAGACTGATACATGTTAAGATTTGATCCAACTGATTGTTCAAAGAGGCGTTATTGAAATATTTTACAAAAAGTAGACCGCAGTGCCATGCTGTTGCTTATTTATATTACAGGAAACATCACAGCTGTGAATAAAAGTCATTATTCTGTCGTAACTCATATATTTATCACAAGAGATGCAATGTTTATTTTCCTTAAACAGCTAGACCTGAGAAGTAGCTCATGTCCAAAGAATCTTTTCTACTTTTACGATAACAGCAGATCCCCGGCTGTCACCTGTGTCCATAAGCGACAGGCTTCTGTGGCTTGAAATCAGCTCCAAGGGTCCTCATTCTGTAAAACTTAACTTCCCATCACTATGTCTGGGGGAATTATTCATTTCATTTGTTTTCCATAAAAAAATTATTATTATCTTGGAAAGCAAAATTTCCCATTAAGAACAAAATCAGTTTTTCAAAAATACAGTAAGCAGTGCACAAAATTTTTATTTTATCCACAAAAATCTGGATGTCTGAATATTAACAAAATTGGAGAGCAATATTAATTTATAAAACAAAAAGAAAACTTATATTCGATGAAGCAAAAATTAAAAAAAATAATAGTGATGATGTTCTAAGGGGTTGAAAACATGTCTGTAATTTCAAAAGGGTCTGTTTATAAGCCTAGGGACAAGTTGCACCCCACTCATTCCCCACAAGAGACCTTCAAAATGTGGTTATAGAAAGACCCTTCCTGAAGGCCTAGGAATTTTCACCAGGGGTTAGTCACTGACCTGCCCCTGGGGGAGCCCCCACTGCAGGAAGAAGCCAGAGGAGCTTGTACCTGCTGCAGACTCTCCTTGAACCACAGGGCCCCCACCTCCATCCCAGGGCAGAGTATCCTGGTACTGCTGAGGGAGATGAGACACACAGATGCGCGTCTGTTTGGTCACACCTGTGAGGACAGGTTTGCAATGGGGAGGCAGATCTCCCAGATCGCATTGCACCTGACATGGAAATACACCCCACTGCCCATCCACACACAGCTAATCATACTCAACAATGACAAGCTGACTGGGTCAGGCCACGTGGACATTTTCTCAAGACAAAAATTTCTTTTAGAAAACACATATATCAATAGTCCTTCTTAAGTAAGTCAGATGAATATTTTAATACCTGTAATAGGATTTAGCAACAGAAGACAAGACATACTTTAATGTTAACTGATGTTTTATAACATCACTGTTGTTCCTATTAAATTTGAAAAATGTTACATGTATACATATGGCTATACATTTCTTAAATATTGATTAATTTGTATTGCCATTATACTTTTAAGATTGCAGGCTATGTAAAAATGCCAGTTTATTTCACATAAATGTGTGGTCAAGGTAAAATTGGATAGAATCACAGAAAAATTGATTTCATGAACTATTTTTAAAAAACTAAAGACATGCAAGTTTCTCAATAAGGTTTTGGGAAAATACACGCTTTCCAGGATTTTCTTTAATCTTTTGGGAAGTAAATGCTAGCTAATAGGTAGATCTTAGGTGATTCCAAAAACATTCCAAGTTAAAATGTTGGAAAAAAGTCTTTCTGGGTCCATTCTCTGCTCAAACTAAATAATCTCAGAGCACATGAATTGTTTTGAAAATGTGAATAAAGGGCAAAAAAAAAAAAAGAAAAACTAAAGCATCAGAAATCCTAATGCCATCCTGGGACTATGCGTAGAAATGTCACCCTCTTCAACTAGAAAATATGAGCAAAAACACAAGTAATTTGGAAAATAAAACACTGAAGCTGGCTAATGTGTTAAACAATGTTGCAAACTCAAAATATCCAGGCATTCATCAAATGCAGAAATACTCAAATACTTTACAAGAAACTGAAAATGTATTCCAACTAAAAAATTGTGTTGTATAATATTTTTTAAATGGCAATAGAAACAATGCAGAGAATACGGGGGTTTTGCTGGTTTTGTTTTGTTTTGTTGTTTTTTGAAGATAGGGCCTCTCTCTGTCACCCAGGCTGGAGTGTGGTGGTGCCATCCTGGCTCACTGCAGCCTCGACTTTCTGGGCTCAAGCGATCCTCCCACCTCTGCTTCCCCAGTAGCTTGGACTACAGGTGCATACCACCACAACCTGGCTAATTTTTGTACTTTTTATAGAGATGGGGTCTCACCATGTTGCCCAGGCTGGTCTCGAACTCCTGGGCTCAAGATATCCTCCTGCCTCAGCCTCCCAAAACTGGGATTACAAGCATGAGCCATGGCCCTCCGTAAACAATGCAAATAATTTGATATGTTGGAGACTCTTGGAAAGCTTTAATGATATGACAAGAAATTTGCCTTTTTTTCCCCCATGCCTTTCCTCTCAACCGTCCTCATTTCAGAAAGCTTCCTAAATTATATGAAGTGGTTTAAAGTTCCTGTCACTCTGCTAAGCAGGGCACAATACATCATGGTGCCAGGCCCTGCCCAGCTTGTCCGTGGTGGGGCCTGTGTATCCCCCAGCCCCCGGCGGGCGGCCTGTCACGCACACTAGCTGCTTCCTGAACACCTTGTGCCCCTTCCCCTGAGAGGCCCTTTAGGACACGGGTTCCTCTGGCAAGAATGTCCTCTTCCTCCCCTCCTTTGTGCCATTCATTTCTTCTCCTGCCTCCAAGCTCCATTAACATCATTCCTATAAGTCGTGTTTCAATTTCCAAAGTCTTGCTTTGTCGTCCAGGTTAGAGTGTAATGGCACTATCTCAGCTCACTGCAATCTCTGCCTCCGAGGCTCAAGTGATTATCCTGCCTCAGTCTCCTGAGTAGGAGTAGCTGGGATTAAAGGCGCCTACCACCATGCCTGGCTAGTTTTTGTATTTTTAGTAGAGACGGGGTTTCACCATGTTGGTCAGGTGGGTTTTGAACTCCTGACCTCAAGTGATCTGCCCGCCTCTGCCTCTCAAAGTGCTGGGATTACAGATGTCAGCCACCATGCCCAGCCCCTCCAGTATTTTCTTTTATAACAAAGGCTCTCATGCCCATGCAGGAACAGGGAGTAAGATAAGAAGTCAAGAGTTGGCACTCCAATTTGTCTAAGCAATTATGCTGTTTCAGCTTACAACAATTCCAAGAGATAATAATGCTGGTCTCTATTAAACAGCTAAGGAATCCACAGCTTTGACCCTTATGTCACACAACTCAGGAGTCTCCAGGGTCTCCCCCAGGCCTCTGTGCCTTGCAGCCACGTCCCCATCACACAGGTGTACACCCTTCGCTGTGGACTCCAAAAGCCTGCTGTGCTCTGGTTACACATTAATGACCTGAGGCTGTGGCCTTCTGCTACCCTAGAAAGTGGGTTTTGAAATTCTTCCAGCACAATGAGTCCTTCACATGCTAGACCAGTCCAGCTGACAGGTGCCCAGCCTGGAACAGCACGCAGCAGGCTTTTGCTTATACGAGAGAGAAAAACAGACAACAGGGCTTTGTTAGAGTGAATTCTAGTTGCCTATCTCAGATGTTGTAATGTGGTTCAAGAAAGGACCTGAAGAAAAGACGCCGAGATTGTCTTCTGTACTTCGAAAAATGGTATAAGCAGGGGAAGCTGGTGAGAGAGAATTTGAAAATAAATAGCTGTATGTATATTTACATCTGTATCTCTGTCTGTACCTTCATCTCTATTTTATTTCTGTCTCTGTATCTGTGTCTATTAAATATCTGTGTCTCTATCTCTGTCCCTATCTGCACATATGACTCTATTCTATCACTGTATCTACAGCTACCTGCATAGCTCTGTCTATATCTATAACTATATATCTACATATCCAAATCTATCTGCCTGATCTTCCCAAGAGAACCCTGGCGGCACACAAGGCTCTGTGGGTCACCCTGCACTGCCTTATCTCAGAGTGTCCCATTTGAGTTCTTAAGATTCGTTAGACCTTGCCTTACCTGAGGCAAATACTTATAGGAATTATGGCAAATTTTCCTGGGCGGAGCTTTCATTATTAGTTTTTGCAGATTGTCTGTGTCCTGGGGGAATGCTCACATATTTATGGGGCTGTTGTTTTTCCATTTTTCTAATTAAATTCAGCACAAATTTTCCTCTGATAGTCTCATGTAAAACCTTAACCCAATGCTTAAGTTTGGCCTTGGAGGTAGTAATTCACCTATCCACTGATTCAAAGATTCAACTAGTATTTATCTAACTCCTAGTGAGGTAGGAAGCAGAACTTGAATCTGAAAGTAGGGCTTGGACTCCAGACCAGATTGAAAGCTGCCAGAAACAGGGAAGATGCAAAGGCACCTCTCCCCAAGACACCCCACCAGTGCCATCTCAGTTTGCTGTTGCCATGCAACACCTACAAATTGCTGCCCCTTTCCGTGGCAACACTGAAAGTTCCCACCCTTTGTCTAGAAATTGACGCATAACCCGCCCCTTAATTAGCATATAATTAACAGTTTGAACTTTGTGAAAAGTATTTCTGGGTCCATTCTCTGCTCAAAATAAATAGTCTCAGAGTATATCAATTGTTTTGAAAACATGAATCAAGAGCAAATAAAACTTTTAATGTAAAGCGTCAGAAATCCTAATGCCATCCTGGGACCATGCTTTCAAATATTGTCCTCTTCAATGAAGTCACGTGAAATATGAGCAAAAACACAAATATGAGTGCGCGTAGCTCTGAGCACAGCACTGCCTCTGAGCTGCCACTCAGCACACGGCCTGTGGGGTCGCCCTGCTCTGCAAGGAGCAGGACCTCTGCTGCTGTCGTGCATTGTCACTTCAATAAAAGTTGTTATCAACACCACTGGCTCACCTTTGAATTCTTTCCTGGATGAAGCCTAGAACCCTCCCAGGCTGAGCCCCAATTTTGGGTTTGCTTGCCCTGCAACAAGAGCACAAAGCAGGGACTGTTTCATGCACCTCAACTGGCTGCAGCTATCCTGACAGCTCTGGGGCTCACTTTTCTCTCCATCTGATAATTCCTCTAGGGATGTACCTGCTGCTGGGTGACACCTCAGTGATGTGTGCAGCACCTGTTACCTCTGGACTGGCTTTATGGTGATATAAAATCCTGTTCTGTGACATGTGGCTGGTGTTATTCACTTTGTAATTCTTTGGGGAAGCTTTCCTTTGCTGGTGAGTATATAATTATCTTCATTTTCTTCTAATTTCACTGAAATATAGTCTTCCTTCTTCTGAAACAAAAATCACTACATGCTCCTTTTATTTCTATAATTCATTTTTTAAAAATGTCCTACTGTCCTTTTTTTGTTCAAATTAACTCTTCACATTTTTACTCTCACAGCAGACTTAATTCATTTTCACTTAAAATATGCATTATAGTCAATATTGGATTGGAAAGTATAGCTTTGTATAAGTGATTACTGTAATGCTTCCTAGTATACTAGTTAATTGTAAACATACTGAAGACACTGTTGGAATAGAGTTGGCCAAATCTCTCTAGTTTCTGGATTATGTAGCTAAGGTGTCTATATCTATACCTGTGTCTATCTATCTGTCTCCACTTATCTATCTATATTTAATCAAATTGGTTTGTTTTTTGATTGAGAAAAAGGAGTGTTAATTCAACTCTTTCATTTTAATTAAATTTAAGAATATGGTTAACATATTTTCTTTTTCTTTTTCTTTATTTTTTTTTTGAGACAGAGTCTCGCTCTGTCACCCAGGCTGGAGTACAGTGGAGTGATCTCAGCTCACTTCAACCTCTGCCTCCCAGGTTCAAGCGATTCTTCTGCCTCAGCCTCCCTAGTAACTGGGATTACAGGCATGTGCCACCATGCCCAGCTAATTTGTGTATTTTTAGGAGAGATGGGGTTTCACCATATTGGCCAGGCTGGTCTCTAACTCCTGACCTCATGGTCCACCCACCTCAGGCTCCCAAAGTGCTGGGATTACAGGCGTGAGCCACAGTGCCTGGCACATATTTTCTAAAGAAAAAAATAAGTGGCCATGGTCTAAAATTGTCTACTTTTAACAAAGCACCTGATAAAAATTAATAGTAATTATACTAAATTCTCATGATTCCCAAGGAAAAAAATAATTCTAACAGAAGCTTCATCAGTCCTCATTTTGCAAAAGCTTTTGAACAGCAGTTGTAGACAAATATACCAGACCGAAATGAAATAACTCTATCTCTTAATATAACATGCCACCTATTAATTCTCAGAGTAGTCATTCAAAGATTTACTGCAAAGGAATTTAGCTAGACCTGATGTAGAAAAATAAGTTGAACACAGGACACTTCTATGACCCTCTGGGTCCAAGTCGTGTGGTAATTTTTCTACGTGATGAAGTCAAACTAGCATCACAGCCAGAGGGCGGAAGAGAGGGGCACAGGTCAGAGAGTCGCTGAAGCGACAATCCCCTACCCAGGAGGCTTACAGATGCAGTGAGGACGGCAAATAGACCTTTTAAACAGAGCTAACAAATCTTTTAATACCAAGATAATCTTTTCTGAGCTGGTGAGTTTTAGAGGTCAGATATTTCAAGATTGGAATAAGAAAAGTTCAGCATCTGCCTGCTAAAGAAATTAAACAGTAACATTCAGTTCCAAGTTAAATGCTACGATTCACAATCTCATTCTAAGGTAAAAAAGAGTTTATTAGTGAATTATTTCCAAAAGTCACTTGTCACTTCCAGATTATACTAATGTGTAAAGCATTAAAGGCAGAGGAATATGTAACTTATTAGCGGTATTTAAGAGTGTCTGAGCTGATTTCATTTTATATAAAGAGCAAAGCCCTATCTATAGACCCTCAAGCCTACCCAAGGACAAAAAAAAAAATGGTGAATTTTGTGCTGTCTGAAAGAATCCTTCAATGCGTACTTCAACACAAACCAAGTCACTTAAGCTTCAATTGCCTAAGAAACAAAATCAAGAATTAACAAATCAATTTAGGCATTTGTAAAAATTATCTACTTTCATCTGACACCAAATCGTAATCATAATTGTTTATCTTAAGAACAGATTTACTCGGTATGATGAAACACAACACTGTTTGCTTCCATTAAATATTTTAAGTTCCTAAAGCTAATGGCTGATTTACACACACACACATTATATAAAATATAACATTTAATTTTACTTTTTAATGTTTTCATTATCATTGCACACAGTTCTGGCATAGCAAAAATGGTAATGCTTCCGTCGAATTTTAGTTTTTAAAGACTAGTCATAATATTCAGAAGTGTTTAAGTCTCTCTATAAGTGGTTTGTAACCAGAGTGATCTATGAAACTTTGAGTTGTGCATAGGCCAAAATGTTCAATTTTCTTTTCTTCTTTTCTTCTTTCTTTCTTTCCTTCCTTCCCCTTTCCCTTCCTCACTTATTTCTTTCTTTCCTCCCCTTCTTTTTCTTTTTGTCTTTGTCTCTTTTTTTGCTCTTCTTTGTCATTTTTGTTTTTGTTGTTTCATTTTGCTTTGTTGCCGAGTAGGCATTCAATTATATTATGATGAGAAATATCATCAGAACACATTTTAAAAACTATTTTAATGTGTTAGATTTCTATTAGATGTTTAATCATTTTTCTAAAGAATGTAATGTCCATTACGTTTTCCTGAATATGAAAGAGAAATGAAAGCATTTTAAGTTGGGCATGCACCAAATTCATTGATTCAGCTGGTACATCATATAATATTGTACAATATAATATTACGATATCAATCTGAAGTTTTCATTGCTATTATTATTATTATTCGGCACATGTGAAACCACTCAAAGACCCTCCAGGGCTCTACAGAGTAATCAGTGTGCATAGATTGTTTGTGAGGAGCTGTCACCTTTGTTGGCACCATCGAGCCATTGACAAGGTCACAAACAACGCCCTAGGGCAGCAGCCCCCAATCTTTTGGCACCAGGGACCAGTTTTGAGGAAGATAATTTTTCCATGGACAGGGCATGGGAGATGGTTTCAGGATGATTCAAGCATATTACATTTATTCTGCACTATATTTCTATTATTTTTACATTGTAAGATAAAATAATTATGCAACTCACTGTCATGCAGAATCAGTGGGAGTTCCGAGCTTGTTTTCCTGCAACTAGATGGTATCATCTGGGGATGATGGGGGACAGTGGCAGATCACCAGGCATTAAATTCTCAGCAGGAGCGCACAACCTAGATCTCGCACATACGCAGTTCACAGCAGGGTTTGAGCTCCTATGAGAATATAGTGTCACTGCTGATCTAACAGGAGGCAGAGCTCAGGTGGTAATGCGAGTGATGGGGTGCAGTCGTAGATACAGGGGAAGCGTCACTTGTTCGCCCTCCACCATTCGCCTCCTGCTGTGCAGGTCAGCTCCTAAAAGGCCAGGGACAGATAGTGGTCCATGGCCTGGGGGGTTGGGGACCCCCTGCCCTAGGGGGACCCGGGCCACTGTGGAATTAAAAACACATGGTGCACAGGCTGCCCTGAAGAAGTCACCACGGGAGGACCGACTTCAAAACTACCACCCAAAGCATGAACAAAGTGCAAAACAGCTCAGAGAAGAGAACAAGTAACTTTGGCAGAGGGATAAGGAATTGGAAGCTTCTGCAGAGAAGCTGAGTGTGAGCTGGGAGGTATTGAATAAGTAGGAGTTTGTCAGGCAGGAACGGCAGTGAGAACCCTGCAGACAGGCGGGATAAGGAATTGGAAGCTTCTGCAGAGAAGTTGAGTGTGAGCTGGGAGGTGTTGAATAAGTAGGAGTTTGTCAGGCAGAAACGGCAGTGAGAACCCTGCAGACAGGCGAAGAATCACCAGCGGAGAGTGATACAAAAGCACCGCTAGGTCTGTGACGTCAGCACATTCTCCTTCAGAGAAGCCAGACACTACTCAGTGTGTGAACTCAGCGCACTCTCCCCTACGGAAGTCGGACGCCACTCAGTCTGTGACCTTGGTGCATTCTCCTCAGGAAATCTGGACACCACTCAGCCTGTGACCTCAGCACAATCTCCTTCAGGAAAAGCGACACCACTTGCTCTGTGAACTTGGTGCAATCTCCTTCAGGGAAGCCGGACATCACTCAGTCTGTGACCTGGGTGCAGTCTCCTCAGTGAAGCTGTGCACCACTTGGTCGGTGACTTTGGTGGAATCTCCTCAGAGAAGCCGACACCACTCGGTCTGTGAACTCGGCGCAGTCTCCTTCAGGAAAGCTGGACACCAGGTCTGGGACCTGGTTACAGTTTCCTCAGGGAAGCCAGCCAACACTCAGCCTGTGACTTCCCTGCAATCTCCTTCAGAAAAGCTGGCGCCACTCGGTCTGTGACCTCAGTGCATTCTCCTCAGAGAAGGCGGCACCACTCGGTCTGTGAACTCCAACCAATCTCCTTCAGGGAAGCTGGACATCACTCGGTCTGTGACCTCAGTGCATTCTCCTCAGAGAAGGTGGCACCACTCGGTCTGTGATTTCAGTGCATTCTCCTTCAGGGAAGCCGGGCTCCACCTGGTCTGTGACCTCAGTGCAGTCTCCTCAGTGAAGCCCGGCACCGTTCAGTGTGTGAATTCGGTGCAGTCTCCTCAGAGAAGAGGGGCACCACTAGCTCTGTGAACTCCATGCAATCTCCTTCAGGAAAGCTGGGCTCCACTCCGTCTATGATCTAGGTACATTCCCCTCAGAAATGCTGGATACCACTCAGTCTGCGACCTCAGTGCAATCTCCTTAGAGAAGCCGGGCACCACTTGGGGTAAATTCGGTGCATTCTCCTCAGAGAAGCTGCGTTCCACTTGGTCTGTGACCTGGTTGCATTCTCCTCAGGGAAGCCAGCCAACACGCAGCCTGTGACTTCCGTGCGGTCTCCTTCAGGGAAGTCAGCCAACACTGGGTCTGTGATTTTGGTGCATTCTCCTCAGGGAAGCCATCACCACTTGGTCTGTGGACTCCATGCAATCGCCTTCGTGGAAGCCGGGCACCACTCGGTCTGTGACCTCGGTACCATCTCCTCAGGGAAGCCAGCACCCATTCGGTCTGTGAACTCCGTGCATTCTCCTCAGGGAAGCCGTCACCACTTGGTCTGTGGACTTCATGCAATCTCCTTCAGGAAAGCCGGACACCACTTGGTGCATTCTCCTCAGAGAAGCCGAGCAGCACTCAGTCTGTGAAATCCATGCAGTCTCCTTCAGGAAAGCCGGACACCACTTGGTCTATGACCTCGGTGCAATCTCCTCAGAGAACCTGGCACCACTCAGTCTGTGACTTCAGTGTATTCTCCTCAGTAAAGCCAGGCACCACTCCGTGTGTGAATTCGGTGCGTTCAACTCAGAGAAGCCAGCAGCACTCACTCTGTGACCTCAGTGCCGACTCCTTTTCAGGAAAGCCAGATACCACTCGGTCTATGATCTCAGTGCGTTTTCATTTATGGAAGCCAGGCACCACTCAGTCTGTGACCTCAGTGCATTCTCCTCAGAGAAGCTGGTCACCACTCGGTGTGTGAATTCAGTGCATTCTCAGGGAAGCCGGGTACCACTCGCTCTGTGAACTGCATGCACTCTCCTTCAGGAAAGCCGGACACCACTTTGTCTGTGACCTCAGTGCAATCTCCTCAGTAAAGCCGGTCACCACTTGGAGTGTGAATTCAGTGCATTCTCCTCAGAGAAGCCGGGTACCACTTGCTCTGTGAACTCCATGTAATCTCCTTCAGGAAAGCCGGGCTCTGTGACCTTGGTGCATTCCACTCAGAAATGCTGAACACCACTCAGTCTGTTACCTGGGTGCAATCTCCTCAGGGAACCCAGGCACCACGTGGTGTGTGAGCTTGGTGCAATCTCCTTCAGAGAAGCCAGGTCCATTCAGCGTGTGACCTCTTTCCACTCTCCTCAGGGAAGCCAGCGCCACTCGGTCTGTGAACTCCATGTGAAATCACCTTCATGGAAGCCAGACATCACTCGGTCTGTGACTTCGGTGCAATCTCCTTCAGGGAAGCCGGGCTCCACTTGCTCTGGAAACTTCGTGCATTCTGCTTTAAAGAAGCCGGGCCGGCGAGGAGGGAGGACGGAGGACAGAGGCCAGGCCAGCGGCTCTCAGAAAAGTCCTGTGTTGACTTCTGTGCGATGTGTCTTTATGGATTGGCATCCAACAATGTAGGGCCCTAATATTTCTAAACAGGTGACTTAAAGGATTTTAACAGTGTACTCCATGATGTTATGTTAAGCTTTCATTTTAAAAAATCTGACTTAAATATGCATCTCTTCAACAAATAATTACAGAGCCCAGCACATAGGACAGTGCTGTTGTGGGTGCTAGGAATGCACCCTGTTCAGTCAGAGGCTGCCCTCAAGTGGCTTCCCAGATGGGAGGAAGGAGAGACATCAGGCCCCACCAAACCAGCAAAGCGCTGCCTCCTGGGACGAGCTCCCTCCCCGGACAAGCTCCCTCCCAGGACAAGCACCCTGGTGGGAGTCAGGCAGACGTCTGTGTTGCCCAGATGTGAAAGGCCTGTTTCGAAAATGAATCCCACAGGCAGAGAAGATAAAATGGGGTCTAGAGGCAGAAAGTATCCTGGTGTGTTTGGTAAATGACAAAACCCCTTGTGGTCTGAGCTGGGGCAATAGTGTGGAGGGGAAGGCTGCTTCCTCTTGCTTCTATTTGGGGCATGCTTCCAGGAAAGAGCAGGGCAGGAGAGGTAAGATGCCAGTGCCAGGGAGGCCCTGGAACAGCAGCAAGGAAGCCCAGTGAGCACTGGCGGGACTGCTGGCAAGGCTCTGTGGGTTCTGGAACCTTCCACAGGAGTGGAGTGGGAACCAGCAACGGGACTGTGTGCTGTGCCGGGGCCAAAAGGGGAGGGCCACATCAAGGTATCCCACATTCTGGTTCTAAATCATTCTGGTTTTCATGAATGGAGACACACATAGTCCCGAGGCAGCCCCGGGTGACTTCTCTCCATCCTTGCAGAGAGCAGCCTGTCTTCCCGAAACTTCATGCTGCTGGAGGTTTGTTCTCAAGAGTTTCCAGGTTCAGACATCACTAAATTTCTCCTGATAGGAAATTATCACGAGCAACAGTTATACCGTTCTAATGATTGGAACAGCAGTAACAGGAGGGAGAGAGAAAAAGACAAAACAAAACAACACTGAATGTTTACAAAAGTGAGAGTATACCTTTTCAGCCACTTCAAAGTATAAAGCTTGTTTATCCACCAGCAAGGGTGCAGGACTCCAATGGAGAACTTTATTCCAATTCCTTATTTATGCTTTCCTTAACAGACTTCCATAACTCAAATGGACAAATAGGTGGAAAGGTGGTCAGAAGACTGTTGCTGAAGTGCTGATTCTGTCACTAGAGTCTCCTAGAACCCCATCTTTTTGTCTATGAAGCTGACACCATAATCTTCCTCCTAAATCTCCCCAAAAGGCCAACATCATGATTGGATTGGACGCCGGGTCCTGCTGCCCCATGCTGAGGAGTGAGGCCTGTGTGGAGAAGTCACGTGTACATCGATTCGCAATGCCAAGAAGTCTCGTCTCTGAGGCAGAACCTGCATTCTCGGCAAGCCGTGTACAGACTTGCAGTGTTCACAGCAGGCATGTGAAGCAAGCACACAGAATGTTTGAATAAATATCAGTGACTCCCCATAAGGGACTGAAAGAAGTATCCAGATGGAATGATTGGGTTGGTTTTCCACACCACCTATGCCCAGAGACCCACCTTCCCTTCTCCACCATGGTGGATAACAGCCCCAGGGGCCCCTCCCAGTGCCCATGGCCCCCGTCCGCCCACCTGCCCTCTGCAGCCCCCTTCTGGGTCCTCTCCTGCACTGCCTTGTTGGGGGGTTTGAGGCCAAGAACAACTGATCACTTGCCTTTGAATTCTCACAGTGACATAAGCTGAATACAGAGTAGAAACTCCATAAAGGTTTACTGGACAGAAATAACATAAAGTTTTAACTGGTGGGCTCAACAAACAAGGCACGTCCTTTGTCTTCTATTAAATCTTTCAAATATTTGATGCTTTATTAACATTTCACAATGAAAACGTTGACAATAAATCTTATTTAAAACCATTCCTAAGAAACCAGGCTATAAAAAAAATGAGCTTTTTCCCTCCTTGCATTTCAAATTTCATGTGCCCATAATTTAAACCAAATTCTATTTCGACTGCCTGTTTCTTAATCCTAATAATGTAAATATTTTCCTACGCATAATAATTTTTGGAGTATTCTGCCCGTCATTTAAAATTATGCTACCCTTCCTATTAGGCACAAACTATCTTTCAAGACCTCCCTGGAAATAATGTTTTAATATACTACAATTGAGTTTAAATTGTCAAATTCAATTATTAGAGCCATTTCTTTACTATTTGAGCAAGTTTTGACAACTGTAAACTTTGCGACCTAAACATAAAACATGACAACTGATTATAACATGATCTCAAATGTACCCCCGTTCTCCGGTTTCATTAAAATATTAATTTATTTTCTCGATTGTGAATATTTTCAGCATTCTGGTTATAGGGTCTTTATTAGCAATGACATGAATCATGAATTTTTCATGTTTATGATATTGCAATTTCCCTGCAGAAGCTGGTATTAATGTAAATACACTTAGAAGCAGATCAGTATGAAACAACAGTTTTAAGTGCAAATTTATAAAACACAATTCCTCATTGTGTTTTGAGGAGGAAAGCTTGCCCTAAAAATATGTATCAGAAACACTCCTGCTTGTATTTCACCTTAACTGGGTTCATTTTAGCACTCTTGGGAACTCCAGCACAGTTTCTCTTCTGATGCAGTGGTGTCTTAGTACGGAATGCACTCCTGCAGGGCTTCCTGACCCATCAAAGGTACTTCCTGTAGAATGCACTCCTGCAGGGCTTCCTGACCTGTCAAAGGTACTTCCTGTAGAATGCACTCCTGCAGGGCTTCCTGACTTGTCAAAGGTGCTTCCTGTAGAATGTACTCCTACAGGGTTTCCTGACCCGTCAAAGGTACTTCCTGTAGAATGCACTCCTGCAGGGCTTCCTGTCCCGTCAAAGGTGCTTCCTGTAGAATGCACTCCTGCAGGGTTTCCTGACCCGTCAAAGGTGATTCCTCTACTCATGCTCCATTCAGGTGGTTGACTTTTTCAGCTCCCACATTCAAGGAAATAATGTTGGCCCCACCAGCAACTCGATTGGATTTTCTGTTAAGCATAAAGTTCTGTACCAGTAAAGAATATAGATACTTATAAAGGAGAAAACCTTGAGCACTTAATTAATCTATTCATTGATAAATTAATACATCTTAATCTCTAAAGGAAAACACATTGAGGGTGTTGTTGAAAGGAAAACATATTCCTCCAGAGTCGTAGATATTTCCAAAGTGATCACCAAATCAAGCTACGCCAACGGAAACTCTGATGCTTGGGCCACACTGAACTCGTCTCCTACAGAACTGCCTGTGGTTCATGAGGTGCTTCAGGGCAGAGCACGTGATGAGCAGGGGTCCTGGGAGAGCCGTCACCGAGGCAATGTGAGGGCGTTCCTATTGCCTGGTGTACTCCACCTGAGCTATGGGTCTGCTCTATCTCATGGACAACTTGAATCATGCAACTCATTAAATTTACCTTTTTTGAGTTGAATATGGCACTTGAAACAACATCATAGAATTTGAAAGCGGAGCTGTTACCTCAAGTGAACTTGTGTCATTTGGGAGCCAGCCTATGCTGCTTTGATATGAGGGATTCTAAGTCCACACTGCAGTGAAAGGAAGGCTGTGCTGAGTCAGATACCAACCACGAGCGTTCATGTTGGGAGGGAGCATTCAAGTGGGAGGGGAGCCCCTCCATTCAGCCTGCTGTGCTCAGCCCCTTGCAGGAAGGAGCACATAAGTGAGCAAGTACGGTGTCCAGGCTGACAGCTCCGGTGTTGACACAGGAGAAACCTCCATGCAAAGCCTGCAGTGGTGCCCAGGAGGAGGTGCCTGCGATCCCAAAGCCCCAGAGCAGGTGTTGCAGTGCTTTCTTAGTTCTGCCATCCACGGACGGCAGTGTGTTAGCAGCTCAGTTGGCCCCTTGACTCATTGCCTTGAGCTGCTGCCCCGACTGGTAAAGGCAAAGGACTGGTGTGACGGCCTTTCTGGGTACCCACACTCAGTGGGTCCCAAGCTGTTTTCTGACATCCACAGAGAATGAGCTCACACAGACAATTGAAGGATGATGAAGGTGGAGAGTTTTATTGAGCAATGAAAATGGCTGTTAGCAGAAAGGGGAGCTGGAGAGGGGATAGAAAGGGCCGGTCATCTTCCCCGAGCTCAGGTTGTCTCCTACTCTACCAAGTGAGTCTGGGCTCTTTGTAGGCACAGGATGGAAGGTGCATGCTGATTGGTTTGTGAGTATGCAAAAAAGTTTAAAGTGAAGACACCACTCAAAGGCTGGCACAACAGTGTGGAAAACCAATTAGGAAAGGGGAGGTATATGTAAAATAGGTGAAGGGTGGGGATCAATCCAAGGAAAGCACACCAAACAGGAAGATAATTTCTCAATTCAGTCTGAGGATAGGAAAACAGGCTCCCAATCCAGTCTGAGAATAGGAAGACAGGTTCTCAATCCAGTCTGAGAACAGGAAGATAGGTTCTCAATCGAGTCAAAGAACAGAAAGACAGATTATCAATCCAGTTCGAGAACAGGAAGACAGGTTATCAATCCAGTGTGAGAACAGGAAGACAGGTTCACAGTCCAGTCCGAGAACTGGAAGACAGGTTCTCAATCCAGTCTGAGGATTTAACCTGTAGCTCGGCTTTTAGGCTTTAAACTGTCTTTGGCTTGATGGTAGGGGTCATTGGGTACCTGGTACCTGCCCCTATCTGCCTAGGCATTTGGCTGCTTCCTGTCACCATCACTTCCAGAGATCCCAGCCTTTTTCAACAGTCGAATCCTAGCCACAGCCATTAAAACATGTAACTAACTCATTGTTCCTCCTTAGTGGGTGGATTGCATGTTTCCTTGCACCATTTTGTCTATGCAGTTACCTTTAAAGCTGTTGTTTTAAGCCAAAGTCAATTCAGAGGAAGAACTGTTTCACTTGGGAAATTAATTTTTTCATAGAAAGGGGCATGATCAGAAAATCTATGGAAGTGACACAGCAGATGATTTGATTTTCAAGGGCCACCTTCTGGTCCCTATATTTCCATGGGCTTAAAATCTCCCAGGATGTTGCAAAGTGACCCAAGACATACTTAGCAATTTTGCATACATGTTTTAAACATACGAAGCTCAGAACTAAGTCCTTTAGCTATAACTCGAGCACCTTCTGAGGTTGTTATTGTTAACATGGCTGCTATTGCCTTGTTAAACAAATTGAGATCTTTTCCTTTGATTCTTAATTTAAGTGTGATTGACTTTGTTTAGGTTCACAAACCTCAAGTGTAAACCTTGGTCAGTTTTCACATATGTTTAGTCTTGTGGAACCACACCAAGATCAGGATAAAGAACATGTTCAGTACCCCCAAATATGCACCCACGCTCCTTACGTCAATACTTGTGTTAGCATTAAAGGTAACCATTATTCTCATCTTCACTGACATACATTAGTTTTGCCAGTTTTTGAATGGCAAGAAATGGTCCCCAACAGTATGTACATGCTTGTTCTTGGCGTTCTTTGCTCAACATAATGTTTTTGAGATCCATTCGTGTCGTTGCAAGTAATTTTCTTCTTTTCTTTGCAGTGTAGTGTTTAATTACAAGAACATGCCACCATCTATTTGCCCATTCTTATTTGATGGCTATTTGAGTTTCTTCCAGCATTGGACTAACGTGGTTAAGGCTGCTATAAACTTTAAGCTGTAGTGTCTTTGGGTGAATACAAATCTGTTTCTGTTGAGTATTTATTTAGTGGTGGAAATGCTGTGTGTTAGGAGATACTTACAAGTTAGTTTAGTGGACACTGCCAGTTTTTCAAAGGCATGAATCAGGCCTACCAGGAAGGAATATGAGAGTTTTGGTTAAAGATGGTTAATATAACTAAACATAGAAAGTAGAACAATATTAGAATATACCAGAATAGTATTTTTTTAAACAACAGAAAACACTAATCATAAAAAGAGACAAGGATAACTGGACTACATTAAAATTGAAAATCTCAGCTTATCAAAAAAAGTACCATAAAGAGAATGAAAGAAAAAGCCAGAACAGAAGAAAAGACCTGAAATCTATTTATCCAACAAATGACTCCTACCCTAGATGCATGAACACCTGCTACAAATTATTGTGAGAAATGATAAACAACTCCATTAAGAATAAGCACAGGACTTGCGCAAGCTCTTCCCAGAAGATGCCAAATGGTGCACTCACAGCCAAGACCTCAAAACCATTCGGCACGAGATAAATGCAAATTCAATCATCAAAAATATATCCTCGCCAGAATGACAAATGAATATAGCTGGCAGTCTCTAGGGCTATCTAGATGTGGAAGTTTACTTTTTACACTTTTCCTTGTAATTAAGATAGGTTTAAATACATTCGGCCACATTTGGACCTTATTCCTTTTGACATAGAATATTCTCTAGTTAGAAAGCTGAGCATGGGAATACTAAAATTAACACCTCTTGGTATAACTAGCCAACACAGGAACTGGTGTATGCTATATGCACAGTTAAAAGGTTAATAAAGATTTTGGGTAGATCAATAATTATATAACTATACCAAAAACAAACAAAAAAACTCTACTGAACGATAAACAATGATTTGATACTTTAATCCATTCTACAAAAATCCAGCCAAACAGTAAGTTACCCTGTGCTTGAACGTGTCCAGGGATAGGACATACTGCCTCCTGAGACAGTACGTTCCTTCTTTGGCCAGCTCATAGATCTTTCAAAGTTTTTCTTAGAAAAAAATATGCCTTCCAATAACTTCTATAAGTTAGTCTATATTTCACTTACCAGGATACATAAAGCCATCATGTTATTGACTTTTCAAAAATAACTATCAAATTCTCATTGGTCTATCTATACTTTAAAACTCAATAGTCATTGGTCCAAAGACTAGAGTCACATTAAATAAAGCTAATATGTGAACACAATTTATAATGCATGAGGTCCAATTCTCCCCTATAACTCTAAGAAGGTGCTAGACATTTCTCTCACAATGCAAGATCTTAATCCACACCCACAGTTTCCCCTGGTGAAAGGTAAGGACCGGAATGATTGTCCTGAACAGCAGAGGTGAGCCCAGTTGTGATTTAATGACTCCAAAACACAGGGCAACAAGAACAAGAACATTTCACTCTGAACGTCTCAGTACGGAGCTTCTGCTTCTGCCAAAAGATTTCCTGCAAGTTTTGGGAGGGGACCCCTTATGCCAGTTACAAGTACTGCTACAGGGCTCACTCCACGGCAGCTGAGCTGAGCCCCCAGGATGCGCAGAGGCTGTGGGTGGTGGGTCTTGTCAGTGCAGCCAGGAACCGTGGGAAGCCTTGCACAGAGGAAGACATGACCTGAGAGTGCATTTAGCTGCATGTCTTCCCAGCTGTGGACCCCAGTGACAACTGCACACTCGGGATTTCTAGAAAGAGAGGGTCGCACATTTGCATGCTCCACCAAACCACAATTCTGTAGCTTGAGAGACTTGCAGACAGCAAATATCCTTCCACCTGGCTAACTGTCTGGGAAGCCACACAGAATGACCCCACAGCTGGCTCTGTCCTGAAGACCGCCTGGCTCAAGGTGCTGGTCTGACTCTGTGTCAGGCAGCAAAGGCCAGTGTGTGCCCAACATTTCCACGTGGACTGGTGCCTTAACTGGGCTGGCATGCCCCCAGGGCATGGCTACAATGGAGGCACAAATTCCTGTTGCTGTCTCTGTCCGGATGCATCTCTGAAGCTTACAAAGCAGCGGCTTAAAGAGAGTGCCCCTTTCTCCCAGCACACTGGCCTGCCTTCCTGATGTTCACATTGTCACAGCTGCTTACTCTATCCAACGCTGTCTTTGGGTGGATATTTACAAAATGCATTCCTAGTGTGATATCAAGAAATACACATTTTTCAGCAAAATGTCCACCTTTTGCAACACGATAGAATTTACTTAGCAGATCAGTGCAACACAAACGACGATGTGACTTTACCCCATATGCATTATTGATGATGCTCTCTTGACCCCTAAAACCAAAAATGTGCTGTTGTCCCATAAAGCCAGATTTCAAAAAGAGATATGTAATGTTTGTGGGGATTTTAAAGCTCCTATCCATCAAACCTTGATCATGTCAATCTAATGTTATTTATGATATTAAATGGGTTCAGATTAATCAATCTAACTGCACAACCTGTCAGATGCCAGACTGTCCTTCTGTCTTTCTTTGCATGACCACACACCTGAGATGGAGTTATGTAGGCTCCTCCATTAATGGACTAATGGCATAACACCAAGAGCCATCTCGGTTTAATACCCTCTAACACGATGATTTATCTCCCTCACACTGTAACTGGCTGTGTTCTTGTTCCCAAATATTTGCTGCCCTGCCTTCTCTTCCTCTGCCATTCCTGTCCCAGAATTGGATGTAGTGTGTGCACAATTTCTCCCCTGTGTGGAGCCGGCTAGCACCCAACCATCAAGTTTCTCCCCAGGGCAACAGGTATAAAGATGTCTCTTCCAGCTGGGGCACCCAAGTGCAGGTGACTCAGGAGAGAAATGCAGCTGTAAGAAAAACCATCTGCCTGTGAGTCACTGAGACTTTGAATTTGTTGCTGCTACAGAATGAGTGAGTTGACCCCAGAACAAAAGCTCCATTCCCTCCCTTGTCCCCCTGACTCCACCACTGTGAGAATAGGTGGACAGGCAGAGATGAGTGAAATTGCCTTTGCAAAATTATGACTGAGACAGTGAAAGAGATCTAACTTAATTGCAAAATTATGCCTTTGCAAAATTATGATGGAGACACTGAAAGAGATCTAACTTAATTGATTCCATCTTGCTTCTAACCTCCAAGCTGTGCTTGTTCATTCCTGGGCATAGGCTGAACTAACTTTGGGAGGAACTTATAGTTTATAGTTTAAAACAAAGATAATAACAGTCCTTTCCCAAAGCAGATCTCCTTCTCATCTGGGGATTAGATTGCCTTTATAGGACTAATATTAGCCACAAGATTAGAAATTATGGCTTAGGAGCCATGCAGCTGGAAGCTACAAGAGTCTGACCCTCCCCAAACTGCTCCTAAGATCAGTACTTGATATATTTTGCAAACCCTGCACTTGATGGATCAGCTGGCACCACCCAGACAGATAAACTGGCTCATCTGATCTTGTGACCCCCACCCAGGAATTGACTCAGTGCAAGAGAATAGCTTCAACTCTATGATTTCATCCCTGAACAATCAGTACTTCTGGTTCACCGGCTTCCCCCCACCCACCAAATTGTCCTTAAAAACTCTGCTCCCAAATGCTCAGAGAGACTGATTTGAGTAATAATAAAACTTCAGTCTCCTGCACAGCCTCCTCCGTGTGAATTACTATTTCTCTAACGCACGTCTTCTGTCTTGATGAATCGGCTCTGTCTAGGCAGCAGGCAAGGTGAACCCATTGGGCGGTTACAAGAGCAGAGAAGGACTAGGCTCCAAGGAATGTCAGGTGACTGTCAAGGGGCTGGTAACAGGGAAAAGAAAATTTCCTAACATACAGGAGACATCCTGAGCCTGTGGCCCACGACTTCCTAATAAGAACTTAAAAAGGAAGCATTTGACCTTCCCCTGTGGACACGTCCGGGCTTGCGCAGTAAGGGGCAAAATGGCGGAGTTTGACCTGTATATGACCTTCCTGTGTGGGTCCTAGACTGGTAAGGGAAAATTGCCCTTAGACAGCATGCGCATAATTTAAACCAACAAATGGCGCGTGTGGCCCCTGCAGACGCCAGCAAGACACCGCACGGGGCGATTAGCCAACAACCTGCCCAAAGGGAAGGACGAGGGAAAGAGACCAGGATAAACAACAGAGGATAGTAACTCCATAGTAGCCCTGAGCGACAGTCAGGTGGGGCAGTCAGTCTTTGGAGCTGCCTGCTTCATTCCTTCTGAGTGGACTTCTCCTTGCTCCAATACATTCTCCTTTCTGCCTTAAATCTACTTCTGTCTCTTGACCAATTTTTTTCTCCCAAGAAGACAAGAATTTGAGGACTGTGGGGCCAGCCCTGACTCAATGCTGGTAACCCACCATCTGGATGTGTTTCCCGTTGGGTGTGGGGGGCATTGCTATTGCTATTCTTTGTATGTGGTATTGGGAAGTGTATGATAGATTGTCTACAAGTATTCTATTTATTTATTTTGAGACAGAGTCTCCTTCTGTCGCCCAGACTGGAGTGCAGTGACAACATCTCAGCTCACTGCAACCTCCACCTCCCGGATTCAAGCAATTCTCCTCCCTCAGCCTCCTGAGTAGCTGGGATTACAGGTGCCCACCACCATGCCTAGCTAATTCTTGAATTTTTAGCAGAGACAATGTTTCACCATGTTGGCCAGGCTGGTCTCAAACTCCTGACTTCAGGTGATCCCCCCACCTAAGTCTCCCAAAGTGCTTGGATTGCAGGCGTGTTTCTTAAACAGATTCAGTTAAGCCAACAAAATACCAATTTTCCAATCTATTTTTTTGTAGAGAAATTCAGCATTTTCATTTAACATTTCACAATGTGTTGGCTTGGATGTTTTGAAAACATCAGGTTCTTTCTAATTAGAGAGATAATGCCCCCTTCTGTATAAGATACATTCTAATAAGCAAACTAATTTAGAAATTCACTCTGTTTCTATGTCTATTTTCCTAGATAAAGGTAATTACAAGATCATTTTGTACCTGTCTGTCAGAGAGTGTTTTATTGTTTTAATTTATAATTTGTTTTCATATAATTTAATATTAAGCATTCCTTTAGCTTACAGGAATATTTAAAAGGAATTTGCATTGATTTCTTTGCTTCTCTGGAAGACAAACCTTAATTCAATTCCAGAATAATAATAATAATAATAAAAAGTTCCCATCTTAAAATTGCTTTATTAATTTTTTACTTTGGGTTTTCATAGGGGACCAAATAGAAGATATTTGGCCTTCTCCAAGGCCATCCTGCAGACATACATGGTAGCAAACACTCAGCAAAAAGATATTTATTTGGTTGTTTTTTGCTTTCTATGTTTTTCAAAATTGCAAGGAGAAGAAGAAAATACACAAACACAGGTCTCTGCCTTGAGGTCCTAAAAGCTGCAAATGAGACCTGTCTTACAAGGAAATAAAAAAGAGACGCACTTCAGTCAAAGTCATGTTAGAGGCCCTTGTTTGCAGGTGAAAACTGAGCTGGGATTGAAGGCCAGGCTTTGACCCTGGGCACGGTCTAGGAAGACCAAAGAGCTACACAAGACGCTCTGGGGACATGGTGAGCAGAGCCACCGAGGTGTGGGTCAGCAGGAAGGCACCGTGGAGACACAGCCCTGCTTCTCTGTGACCAGTGCACAGTTCCAGCGCAAACTGAGCTACCAAAGTTGTGTGATCACAGGGGCCTTAGGAGAAGCCCACCATCTCCTCAGCTGGCAAATCTGAAATGATGATCATTACAACCTCTGACAGCCGGGCCGGAGCTGGGGTCGCCAAGGCCGCTATTCATGGTGACTCATGGAACAGAGGGTCCACAGTCCAACTCTTACCTCAGCAGATCACTATCATAACCGCTTCAGAACGAGTGCCACTGTGACTCATCAGAGTGAGACAGAGAAAAAGAGTTTCCAGTAGGAACCTTTGCTCAACGACATTGAAGGCAACCAGAAGATGCTACCTGAAAACATGCCACTCTGGCCTGAGGATTATTTTGAGTTGATGGCAATTGAGGAACAGCAAAGGCAAGGAAAGCTCTAAAACCCTTTGGTAAAGGAAATTCACTTTTACAAAAGCAATTTCTATTTGTGAAAGTGTCCTCTTCTCTCTTACCTGAGAGTAACTCTTATTGCCTGAGATGAATCTTATCTGCATAACAAACCTTTGTAAACGTCTCTTACCTGCATATCCTACTCGCATTCCCATAACTCATCCCCCATAAGCACCAAACTTCCCTTCCTTCATCTCCCTTCTTCTCCACACTTCATCATCCTTAATATCATCTGGAAGCCCCAAAGTTAACCACCTGCTTAAGCCACACTTTTTTCGAAATCCCAGGTGTTGACGTGTCATTACACCTGGTTTTCCTCTTGTTAATTTGTGTTTCGTCAGTTTACACAGAGACCCAGACACGGAATCTCGGAGAACAGATGGAAAAGTAAGTTCTTCCTCCTTCCATACTCCTTGAATTCCAGACAGTGGCATGCCTCGGTTGGCCTCTAAGTTGATCATTGGAGCAGTAAAAATGAGAACTAGCATTTTCTTACATACTTAAAAAAATTAGAATTGCCCATGTACAGATTAAAAGTTTGGAGAAAAGACATTACACATATTAAAAAATATAAAATCCACACCAGGTACAGTGGCTCACACCCTTAATCCCAGCGCTTTGGGATGCCAAGGCAAGAGAATCACTTGCACCTGGGAGTTTGAGATCAGCCTTTGCAACATGGTAAAACCTTGTGTCTACAAAAAATACAAAAATTAGCTGGGCATGGTGACACACGCCTGTGGTCCCAGCTATTTGGGAGCCTGAGGTGGGAGAATCACTTGAGCCCAGGAGGTTGAGGCTGCAGTGAGCCCTGATTGTGCCACTGCAACAAACTGAGAAGCAAGACCTTGTCACATATATATATATTTCTAAAATAGCCAACCAGTACATACTTTTTAATTATTAATAGTATTATCTTTAATACACTTTAAGGTGATTTGGAAATTTGAACACTTCAAAGCACAAATTGTTTTTTGCATTCTTGAGTATTTAGGTAATTTCAGTTGGAGTAACCATGAGCATGAATATAAAAGCTGTATTTCCATTACTTAAGAAATCAGTCTAACAAAATACAAAAATTATTAATTTCAGTCTAACCACATTTATTAATGAAGCCACTTCTATGAGCCAGTGGTGGGAGTCTAGGACCATCACTGTGGGGAAGTCAAAGAAACAGAAGTCATGATTTAAGGCCTTCAGATGGATTATTGGAGGAATACAAACAACTTTAGCCCAAGGACTCTGTGCTGCTGGGTAGACATGCCAGGATTCGTACTGGACTTGAGAAAAGCAGTGAAAATAGTCCCTGGCCCGCGAGCTTGCTCCCCCTCCTCAGGGCCTATCCACTCCTGATCTACCCTGTGCTTACCCCACCCCACCTCTTCCCCTCCCACTTACCCACCCTGCTGGAAGCTTGGCCTGGGAGCTGGGCTTTTAAACACAGCAAAGAGGAGGCCAGGGAAAGCAAAAATAGGACCTAAGTATCAGTGCAGCAGAGAAAAACTGAAATCTGTTAAATCTGTAAGCCAAAAGTAAAAATCCTAAGCCCTCCAATTGACTGATGGACCTTCCTCTCAGCCAAGGGCATTTCAAAGTTAACCTGAAAAACTAGTTCAGGCTGTGATGGGAAATGGGCTTTGGACACGCCCCATTGTACCCCTCCTTTTGGAATTCAGTCACAGCTGTGGCATTACAATCAACACAGAGATCTTAGGGCTATTGAAACAGGCCTTTTGTAACAATAAGACACCAGTTTTCAGCCCGACTCTGATATAGCATCACATGACAGGTAGTTGGCCACTAAGGAAATCAAAGTATTTTACCCCAAAATATATGTTTGGCATATTCTGAAATGGCCCTGCAAAGCTGTCTCTTCTGGGGAAAATCTATGTTCCATAGAGAATACTCTTCTTTTTCCAGATCTTTTCCCTGGCCCAATAGAGAATTAACTAAGAGTCTGGCACCTTTTTAGATCTGATAAGAGCTCTGAATCCTGCCACCTGGAGGAGTCATCTGCATGATAAGGGGGTCTCTACAACCCCTTATCTTAACCCAGACATTCTTTTATATTGATTCCGGGTCTTTAGATAATACTTCTTTTGATCAATTGCCAATCAGAAAATCTTTGCAACTGCCTATGACCTGGAGCCCCCCATCTCCCCCACTCCCATTTGCAGTCATCCCCCTTTCCAGACCAAACCAATGTAGATCTTACACATATTGATTGATGTCCTAAGTCTCCCTAAAATGTATAAAACAAGGCTGTAGCCTGGCCACCTTGGGCACATGTTCTCAGGATCTCCTGGGGCTCTGCCATGAGCCAATGGTCGTTCATATTTGGCTCAGAATAAATCCCTTCAGATATTTTGGAGAGTTTGACTCTTTTCATCAACAAATCTGAAAAGTGACTTGAAAGCCAGAAACAAGAACAAAACAGAGATACCTTGAAGAGAGAGCAAAAGCAGGATTTCATAAGATAATTGCTATGAAGCAGGCAGGAATGACCCCCGCTTTCTAAAATTTTATTGTTAATCAGCCATTGCTCACATGCTAAATAAGTTGGGTCAGGAAAGATTTAAAGCCAAAAGCTGAAGCAAAAATTATAGATTTACCAAAACTAAAAGAAAGCCAAGAAAGAAAAATAAAGGCAGGAAGAAAGAAAGGGAGGGAGGTGGAAAATTTTAATGTTGATTATAAGAGAAACAAGTTGGGAAACTCATTCATATCTTTCCAATTCTATAATTGACCCGTATTTATTGATGTGAACTGAAGATATGTGACATGGTTTGGCTGTGTCCCCACCCAAATCTCATCTTGAATTTTAGCTCCTATAATCCCCCTGTGTCATAGGAGGGACCTGGTGAAAGATAATTGAATCATCCGGGCAGGTTTTTTCACATGCTATTCTCGTGATAAAGAGTAAGTCCCACAAGATCTGATGGTTTTATAAAGGGTAGTTCCCCTGCACACGCTCTTTTGCCACTGCCATGTAAGATGTGAGTTTAGTCCTTCACCTTCTGCCATGATTGTGAGGCCTCCTCAGCCACGTGTAACTGTGAGTCCATTAAACCTCTTTTCTTTTATAAATTACCCTATTTCAGGCTGGGCACGGTGGCTCACACCTGTAATCCCAGCACTTTGGGAGGCCGAGGTGGGTGGATCACAAGGTCAGGAGATCAAGACCATCCTGGCTAACATGGTGAAACCCCGTCTCTACTAAAATACAAAAAATTAGCCAGGTGTGGTTGAGGGAGCCTGTAGACCCAGCTACTCGGGAGGCTGAGGCAGGATAATGGCGTGAACCCAGGAGGCAGAGCTTGCAGTGAGCCGAGATCGTTCCACTGCACTCCAGCCTGGGTGACAGAGTAGGACTCTGACTCAGAAATAAATAAATAAATAAATAAAATAAATAAATAAAATGAATTACCCTATTTCAGGTATTTCTTACAGCAGTGTGAGAACAGACTAATACAATGTCCAATGTGATTTCAATCACAGCCAATAACAGTAAGTTTATGCATTGGGACATTGGATTTTCCACTTATGGGTGGATGTTTTTGAGATAATTTATATTTTATTATTTTTATTCCCTGACTTTACTCAGGACATCTTAATTTCTTGCCTCTGGGATTTCCATGGTTATAACTCAGTGTTTCTGGCAGTCAGAGTCTCACCACCAAGCATCAGCTTACCTCATTGTCCCACTTAGGTTTTAGGGGTAGAGCCTTTGAGCAACACAAGGAGAGAGGAGGGCCCAGGGGAGAGGGTCTGTGCGTCGTGCCTGGGATAGGCTGATATTGTCACCTTCTGGGGCTGCTGCTGAGAAACTGTGCCTTGGCTTCCACAGAAACAGCAGCAGAAGCCACTGAGGACAAGTGATTGTAGGAGCCAAGGGAGAACTTCCCCTTCACCCTCTGAAGGTTAGCTGAAAAATCAACTTACAAAAGGCAGGTTAATCAGAGAAAATTAACCTGGGCAACACACAAATTAGTGTGTAGACACGGGAGCCTTCAGAATGAAGGCCCAAAGATATAGGGGAAATTGTCGATCTCTATGCTTAGGTTCAGTGAGGTATGGACAGCCATATAGAAATGTGATTGGACAGCCGGACACAGTGGCTCATACCTGTAATCCCAGCACCTTGGGATGCCAAGGTGAGTGGATCACCTGAGGTCAGCAGTTCGAGACCATCCTGGCCAACATGGTGAAACCTTGTCTCTACTACAAATACAAAAATTAGCTGGGATTACAGGTGGTGGGTGCCTGTAATCCCAGCTACCCGGGAGGCTGAGGCAGGAGAATTGCTTGAACCCGGGAGGCAGAGGTTGCAGTGAGCTGAGATGGTGCCACTGCACTCCAACCCGGGCAACAGAGCAAGACTCCATCTCAAAAAAAAAAAAAAAAGAAAAAAGAAAAAGAAACGTGATTGGACAAAAAGGCCCATGCTGTCGTGCTAATAGACTGACTGCCCAAACCCAGCAAGGCCTGTGGGTCAATATGTTTTTTGGTCTCTCTGAACAGTTTCTTCCTTCTGGGTTGCGGGCAGGATCCTTTCTGGAACGGGGATCTTAGAACCTTCAGTCAAAGTAGGTCAGATGATTTCCTTATCAGTTTTTACACAGAAATGCAGGAGGAAAGTAAGAATCATATTTTTGGGTTTTATGGCTGGTTTTGGGGAAAAGGGGTTCTGGTTTCTATGACCCGCCTTTGGTTAAAGGGATTCTAGTTTCTATGGCCAGCCTCAGGGGAGAAAGGGACTGTGAGACGGGAGGGCAGGAAGTAAGAGAAAACCTTTCGCTCCTGAGGGTTCTTCTGATGTTTTCATTTTGGGGTGTTGTCTTCTGAACCTAACAAGATGCAGAATCAGGAGAATCCCTGGTCTCTGTCCTGCTTCCTGCCTGGGTTTGTCCGGTCCTTAGATGGAATACAGGGAGGTGAAAGTTTAGACCTGGAGTAGACTTAAGGGCAGTCGGTAAGTACATGTAGTATTTCCTGCATCCTTGAATTTGCAGAAAAAAATTGTGCCTTCCTGCATATTTCCAATAATATGGTCAATGTCTGTCTAGATAAGTGATAGCCCGGAAAAGTAATCAACAACATACACCCCTTCTTACTTACCTCAGTTATTAATAATCCAATGTCAATCTATGGCTTTTCAAATAAAACTGTATGCACTGACCATGATGCTAGAATGTGACTACAAGTGGCAAGAGGACAATGGGTTGAATTAAAGAGATCTATTATCAAGGAGAATGAACTCTCTGGCATCCACTGTGTCTGAGATAGAACATTAAAAACGAAACAAAATATATACAAACGTGGCTTGACATCTACTCAAGAAATACTAAGTAGTTGGTATGTATTAGGCATTGTGAATGATGTCAGGAATCAGATGTCATTATCCTCGACTTCAGGAAACTCTTGGGGATATTATAACATTTATGTATTAGCTACCATTTTCTTTCTCTTTCTTTTTTTTTTTTTTTGAGATGGAGTCTCGCTCTGTTGCCCAGGTTGGAGTGCAGTGACTTGATCTCGGCTCACTGGAAACTCCACCTTCTGGGTTCATGCCATTCTCCTGCCTCAGCCTCCTGAGTAGCTGGGATTACAGGTGCCCGCCACCACACCCTGCTAAGTTTTTGTATTTTTTAGTAGAGACGGGATTTCACTGTGTTAGCCAGGATGGTCTCGATCTCTTGAACTTGTGATCAGCCCACCTCGGCCTCCCAAAGTGCTGGGACTACAGGCATGAGCCATCGTGCCCGGCCTCTTTTTCTTTTTCTTTCTTTCTTTCATTTTTCTTTCTTCCTTTCTTCCTTCTTTCTTTTTTCCATCCTTCTTTCCTTTCTCTATTTCTTTCATCTACATCTATCTATCCATCCATCTGTCTCATCTGTGTATCCATCCATCCATCTGTCCATTCACCTATCTATCGATATATCCATTCATCCATCTATCCATCCATCCATCCATCAATTTATCTATCTATCATCTTCTATCTATCCACCCATTCATCCATCTATCTATCTATCTATCTATCTATCTATCTATCTATCTATCTACCTACCTATCTACCCTTCATCTAGCCACATGATACAAGGCTGTTGAATGAAGTGGAGGTAGGGAAGAACTATCTGTCAAATCTGGAATAAGTCAGTAACAAACAACCATCAAACTCTGCTTTTTTTGTAGTTGTTTTGTTTTTAATATTCCTGGAGAGAGTGTGAGAGACAGAGAAAAACCAGAGGCAGACTCATTCTTTCATCACCCTGAAGGCTGAGGCTGACCACTGTGAGGTGGCCACCTTACCTGCCACATGGGCTGAAAAAAATCCACATCTGTGGACTTTTTACAGGTGGGAGAGAGACAGCTCTGGAGAGCTCTGGAGAGCCCATCCTGCACATGTATCCCAGAACTTAAATAAAATAAAAATTCTGGGTGCATATTTATAATAATTGTGCTTGAAGCAAAAGATTCAAGGAGGACACTGTGCGGAAGGGGCTGGATCAGACCAAGAGTGAAGGGGGACGGGGCCATCTTGGGTCTGCAGACCTCCTGCATGTCCTCAATGGGGCCAGGTCACCTAACCTCTCAGCCTTCCTTCCTCATCTGTAAAATGGGGAGGAAACTCCAAAACTCATGTCTTGAATTTATTATGAGGATGAATTGGAAAAATAGAGGCAAAACGCTCACAGAGGCCACATCCTATGTATTGATGGTGGTGATTAATAGTTGGCTCTGCATGCCAGGGATAAAGCAGTGAACCGAGCAGGCAGAAGATCTCGAGTCTTCAGAGAGCTCATGTCAGCTCAGGGAAGATGGACAGCCATCAGATGGGCTTGCCATTAGAGCGCTCAGTGGGTGCAAGAGCTATGTGCAAAATTAGGGCAGAAGAAGAGGGTCTGGGAGGGCTGGGGTGGGTGAGAGATCTAAGGCCATGCCCAGGAGAGACCTCGGTGAGAAGGGCCTTTGGAGAATGGACTGGAAAGAAGGGAGGGAGCCTGGTGGGTGTTTGGAGGATGGAGAGGCAGGTGCCGCTGGGGCAGGAGTGGCCTGGTGTGTCTGGAGAAGCACACAGCCACCGCAGTGGGTGGAGAGAGAGAGGACAGCAGGTAGGCAAAGGAAGAAGTGCTCATGCAGAGCACACAGGCCAGGCATGGACAGGAGAGAGGAGTGTCACATGCAGAGCACACAGGCCGGGCGTGGACAGGAGAGAAGAGTGTCACATGCAGAGCACACAGGCCGGGCGTGGACGGGAGAGAGGAGTGTCACATGCAGAGCACACAGGCCAGGCACAGACAGGAGAGAAGTGTGTCATGTGCAGCCAGTGTTTCCTCGGCCTCTTGTTTGCAGAAGGATCAGGCGGATACAGGGAGGAAGGTAGAACTGGACCAGCGAAGGGGCTCCTTAGCCACCCAGAAGCAGGAGGTGGGTGAAGGGAGAGCTGGTGAGAGCTGACTGACCTGGCCATATTCTGGAGTTAGAGGCAGCCGGGGTTTCTGGCAGATGGACAGTGAGATGCTGAGGAAAGAGGAACCTGGGCAGCCAAGAAGGGGAACTCACCAAGCACAGGGCGGGGACTGAGGTGGGGCAGGGCTGGGGAGCAGGAGGATCCCAGCAGGGTGCCCCGAGGCAGGTGTTGAGAGGTGGGAATCCCTTAAGTGATATGCTACTGTCTGTGTTAATCGCTCAGGTGTGTGGTGAGAACACCCAGACCAGGCTACTTAGAACTGGATTTCGATATCAGTCAAATCTGTTGCCAGGGCTAGGACACCTGAATGTTGGGAGAACCACAGAAGACCCTGGGAAAGGGACAGGAAATTCTCTTTGAAAAGTGAGTTTGTGGGCCTGGTGAGCTTCACTTTTGCTCACTTGGGGCTTTGGAAACAGGTGAGATGTCTGAGTATGTGCTCTTTGAGGGCAGGAACCCTTGTTTTTCATCCTGGCTTCCAAAAAGCACGACAGACACACTGGTACAGACAGTCTTAAATATCTGTGGGCCTTTCCTCGCCCACGTGAAGATGAGTTTTCCTGTAAGGAAGGAAACATTTGGAGCGGACAGGGCTGAGAGCTGCCTGGTGGGAGGTGCAGAGTCCTGCACTAGCCGCAACGGGGGAGCAGAGGGACCGTGTCACCTCTCGGAGGGGGGTGACACCGATGGCTCCAGAAGAGAGTCTGCAAATGAGGACACATGAGGCTAAGCCTGGAAGCTCAGGCAGGCGTGCTAGGTTGCGACTCTGCAAATGAGGACACAGGAGGCTAAGCCTGGAAGCGTGGGAAGCTCAGGCGGGGGTGCTGGGTCGCGGGCCGAGGAGTCTGTTTGCTTCCCTGAACTCCTCCGTGCTTTGAATCCAAACACCTGGGCGGCTTTCACTTTCGTGGGGAGTTGATGTCACTCCCCACGGCAATTTGAATGACTGGTTCTGGGACTTGATGAGGACTGGAAGATATTTCTGGTGGTTGTCATTGCAGCCAAGTGTGGAGACCCTGTCTCCGGGAATAAAATTAGGTTGAGAAAAGCTATGGGGTGGACGTGTTTATTCCCCGAATATCACTGGGGTCTTTACCTTGCTAATTCCCAGCTCTATGTTGCTGAGCCGTTGCTAGAGTGCGGTTCATTGAAGGCATCATTTAAACGCCTAGCCGCGAGATTTTATACCACAACATTTTCCCCCTAAAAAAGCATTCATATTACAATGCCAGGCCAGACATGGTGTCTTACAGCTGTAATTCCAGCAATTTTGGCGTCCGAGGTAGGAGGATCACTTGAGCCTTGGAGTTAAAAACTTTGTCTCTACAAACAAACAAACAGACAAAAATTACAATGCTATTATATTTATTTATTGTTTTAAAACTAATTATTGAGTTTGAAACTTTTATTATTGACAACCATTATTCTAAGTAATGACTTACTGCATCTTATAAAAGTCATATAAAGTCTTATAAAGACAGAATCAATTGCTCAACTCTGAAATTATAACCTCTAAGCAACTCGTCTTTCTTAAATATTTCTTTAAAACGATGTGCTGTTCTCTATTTCATTCCTCTTTGCCTGGAATGTAATTTTATTTCTCTTCACCTGGCTCATCTCCTCTCATCCTGAGGCCTCAGATTGCAGGCCACTTCCTTCCAGAGCCGCTTCCTCCCAGAGGGCCGGCGCCTTCCTCCCTCTTCCCCTGGCTGTTAGCGTTCCATCTTCTCTCCCCTGGGGGGCTCACACGTCCTGTATTTTAGAGCTCTCCTCTCTGTTGTATTATTGACTGTGTAGACATCAAATTTCCTACTATGCAGTTAGTTGCAATAGAGAAAAAACAATCTTTTGTTATTATTTTATCCCCAAGGTCTAATGTGTTATTAGATATTCAATACTTATTGAATGAGTAAACAACTGCTGATACCGTGAAGGATATAAAAATGCAAAATGTGATTCTTTCCTTGAAGAACTTCCAATCTCTGGGTGAAAACCATGCACACAGGAAGAGTAAAGGACAGCATGAGATCGCCTATATGAGTTTATGTGTTTACTGCAACGTAAACTCAGAAAGTGCAGAATCCACAGCCATCGTGCTCCCCGTTGTGTGGCCTAAGCCCCGCATGCAGCAGGCGGCAGACAGTGAACTGTGCCTGAACAAACGAAGAGGGAGCGGTGGAGAGGGAAATCTGGGAGGTGATGGGGGATGAGAGGAGCTTGGGCGTATTCTTGAATCACAGTTGAGCAGGATGTGGTTTCTGGGGATGAAACGTATCCTGCTAAATGCCCAGTGGGAAATGGGGGTTTGATTGACAGGCAGGCAGGGACCACTGTTGCCTACAAGGAAGGGAGGACCCAAGAAAGCATCTGCAGCTAATGCTGAGTATCACCGTCATTGTGCTCACCTGTTACTCACAGCGTATGCAGCGCTTCGGGATATGTTGTCCAACTTAATCCTACAATGTAGTGTGAACTGAGCAGAATAAGCACCATTATTTCCACGATATGAAAGAGCGAATAGTCATGAGGGAACTGATGACTGTGTAGAGAAAATGCTGTGTTCTATGGGCTGGTTCCACATTTAATTTTTCCATCATCCTCTGTCTTGTTTTCTTTAAATACATCTTTTGAAGGATATAAAAAATAGATAAAATTATGTATACAATGTCCATAATAGTAGTGCTATTTATCTTATTAAAGGGTTATGAAAGCCATGTTATTCGTGGACATACACATGCTCATTAACAGTAACATATAAGCATGCATCAACACACAAATATAAACATACACATTCACATACAATGCACACCCTTACATATACACATTCACACACTCACACAGGCACACACATGCATGAATCCACACGTGCACACTCACATACATACACACACACACGAACACCTGTGCCCATACACACATGCACATGTTCACACATGTGCAACACTCGCATGCACACAATACTCACATTCACATATGCACACACAGGCACATTCTCACATGTACACATATACACTGTCATGCAGGCACACGTGCACAAACATGCATGCACACATCCACAGATATGCACACATGCATAAGCACACACAATCACATGCACACACCTAGTCACACATACACACATGCACAGACACACGCACAGTCTCACATGAGTGCACAGACACATGCTCATACATGCACACATACGCATACTTGCACACTCTCACACACGCACCAATTCTTGCTAGGAATTTTCAAAGTTTCTACACAGAAATCAGCGCAGGAAGACAAACACCAGCCCAGAGCAGGGCAGCTGCAATGGGAAGCTCGCCTGAGAGGAGCGGGCATTGCCGCAGGTCACCAGGAAGCCCTCCTTGGGCGCTCGCCTCAGGGCCCGCCAGGAAGTTGTGCATCTCTAGGAGGATCCCACTCAGCTGCAGCAAAGCCCTGGGCCGGGAAGGGAGCTCCATGCCCGCATGACTGTCCCTGAGAGCCGAGCTGCCCTGCCATAGGGTGGCTCAGCTGCTCCTCACTCACATTCATAATTCCAGAAAACAAGATATGTTTGTTTTCAACATATTTGATAAGGTGGGAGGGTGAATTTTATTTCTTTGGGTTACATAAATATGAGTATAAGTAGTATAAGACAAAACAAAAAAGGAATGACCAGATATATGTCCTAACACAAAAATGTACTAAACATTAGGTTGCAATTCTTCTCCTTGACTTTAAAAATGAGGTGAGCACCTTTCTTTACATTGTCAGATGATGTATCTAAGTATGGCTGCAAGCTTTGCATTGAGACCTGTTGGCTGCGGGGTTCATGCTGTCTGTGATTTGTTGTGTGGATTCAAAACACAATAAACATGTAATAGAAATAATTACATGAAGATACATTGATGTGGGTCATCTTTCAGCAACATCAAGCTCTTTAATACGTTTTTCAATTTTATATGAAATGAAAACAAATTATTCCACCATAGATAATTTCTTACATCCTAATATTGGGGCATTAAAAGAATAAGTTGTGGTATAAGAATCAGGAACGTGATTTTACAATGGTGATGAGAAAGCACTCAAGGAGGCCGTAGCCTGAATGCCGCGTGGCCGCACCTCCTGCGTGGACTCCCCAGGGACTGTCTTGACTCCGACTGGAGCACCGCAGCCGTGCGCCCTCTCCCAGGAGAGCAAGGTGCACCTTTAAAGATTCCAGATGATTTTCTTCACATATCTTTTTTTTTTTTTTTTTTTTAACATGGAGTCTCACTCTATCACCCAGGCTGGAGTGCAGTGGTGTGATCTCGGCTCACTGTAACCTCTGCCCCCCAGGTTCAAGCGATTCTCCTGCCTCAGCCTCCCGAGAAGGTGGGATTACAGGTGCCTGCCACCACACCCGGCTAATTTTTTTTTATTTTTAGTAGAGATGGGGTTTCGCCGCATTGGCCAAGCTGGTCTTGAACTCGTGACCTCAGGTGAGCCACCTGCCTTGGCCTCCCAAAGTGCTGGGATTATAGGCTTGAGCCACCACGCCCGACCTCTTCACATATATTTGATTAAAAAAAAATCTTGGAGACAGGGAAAGAAAAGAGGAGACGAGGAACAAAAAGAGAAAGGACTCAGATCAACATCCCCAAACGCCGCAGCCGCGACAATCGCTGTGGCCACTAGGTGGCGGGCTTGGTCCGCATTTCAGGCTGTGCGGCTCCTGCCCGGTGGGCGAGGCCTGGTCTGCAGGATTTCCAGGCTTTCTGTCCTGAGCCTCCTGCTTGAATTACGCCTGTGACTTTCAACACACGCAACGCCGTCCGGGGAGGTGAAGAGCGAAGAGGGTATTTTGCTTTGCTGAGTAGCCCGACGTTCCTTAGGAATGAAACCCACATATTCGTCGTCCATTTATTTTGAAGTACTTGGGTGTTTGAGGAGGGGAGACATGTAATATTTAATATACGTATTTTTTGCTTTCTGCGTAATTAGTAATGAACACTTCCCCCCACGCCCTTTATGTAGTTATTTAATTGAGTTTTCATGAAAGAACCTTTTCTCTGATGAAATTTAAACCCAATTAAGTATTTCAAAGTGTTGTGGGTAACCAGTGCTTCCAAGGTATTTTTCCCGCTCATCTCACAGGATGCCAGCATCGCATTGACAGTATTTGGAATGGTCAGCCTTTAGCAGCGTGTGGGAAAGGTGCGGTGGCTTCATTCTGTTATTGTCTATAACTCCTCAGTGAAAACAGGTGACTTGTTCTTAATGAATGTTTCTTTCCCTTTTGTCAGACAATAAAAATGAAAGAAAATGTTGTTGACTTCATATTTGTGAAAGCAGAAGGTTACCAAAATCATCGGCAGGACACATGGAAGGGGAGTGTGAATTAGGGTAAAATTACTACACCAAATTATACTTCTATCATTGCTTTTATACATATGCTGTAAGCCGGTTGGCTCAGGAAAAAACCCACACAATCAGTAAGTCTTAAGAAAGTTGTACCTTTAGCCCCCTCTGCCTTAGTTCTGGAACCCTCTGGTCAGGATCTGCCCCAGGCCCCAATTTGTGGTCTGTGGTCACATTCAGGACCCCTGCCTCAGTGGCCCCTCGACATCACCATCACCTGGCAGGAGCTGCCAGGAATGCCAATGAGTCATCGGTGCTGGAAGGCTTTTCTCCAGAGCCGACTTGCCTGACTTCTGTTTATATTTCCTCGGCCACAGGAAGTGACATGGCCAAGTCCAACCTCCAGCTGGTGGTAGGTGCAGCTCTACCAGATTCCCAGGTCAGGAAAACCTAGAAGGCTGGTGGGTTGCAGTGAAGACCCGATCTCGGGCGTTAGAGACCAGTGTCCCATTTCCTTCTGTAATACACAGCAGCAGGGACCGCCTGCCACCCTCCCCTCTCTGGGGCACAGCAGCTGCGTCTGGGAAGGGTGTGAGACTGTCCTATGCCAGCTGCCACCAACAACGGCAGTGCAGGCCGAGGCAGTTCCCCATGGCCAGCGGCTCCCCGGGATCAAGGCTGGGGGGTCCCCAAATGTCTTGCAGAGCTCTCTGACTTAAGCAGCTGCCTTAAGTGTTGTTTTTCAAGCTGTAAGTAGCCAAGCGCTAGTGGGTGGTGAGGTCTGTTGAGTGGGTCACGACCAGCCTCAAAGACACCAGGTGGCATTCTGTGTGGGAGGAGTGAGTGCTGTTCTGCCGAGCAGTATTCTGATGTACAAGATCACCGAAGGAAATGCATTTCCTACCAGGGATTGAGGTCAACACAATTGAAAGCCCCTGGCCAGCTACAGCTCAGCAATACTCGGCGACACTCAAGAGTTGTTTTTGAAATGCAACATGTAATTCCTTCTCTGCAGAGCCTGGTAAGTCTTAGGAATGTTACCTGGTTCTGCCAATAAAGAGCTTTTCGTAGGAACCTTTCAAAGTCCCCAGAATTACATTAGGAAAGAGTATTACACGGATGACATCCCATGTGCCTCCTTGAAAGATACCAACTTAATTACGCTTTTCTCCCTGAGCTTACCACAGCAGTAACGATAATAGTAAACAACATTCACTTATTTAGCGTTTACTATATATTAGGCATTTTGCTAAGTGCCAGACCCTATATTAAATGCTAATAAACACTGTTGTATTAACCTCCACAATCCTAAGAGGCAGAAAAGGAGCATATTTTGAGGGGTCCAGTGAAGAATGGAAATGAGGGTCCCCTTGTTCAAAAATTATTAAGAATTTCTAGATGGGGAAAGCAGAACATTAAATCAAGTATGGGTCTTTCCCAGTGAGTAGGGGGCCCTATGAGATGGCACAGATTTCAGGCTCATGAAGCCAGTCAGCCCAGCCAGTAGGAATAAACTACATTTTGCAGTGATGAAGTGGAGCTGTTCAAGGTCAGCTGCTGGTTGGAGGTCGCACATCTAACTTTTGTGGAACTGAGACCTGAACCCTGGCCACCTCACTCATCAACTCTCTTCTGTTATATCCACCAAAAGCATCTGGTGTCCCAGCAGGTCACTCGCCGGGAGCCCCACGTTCCGTGGGCACCTTCACATTTTTATAATCAGCTCCTGGTCTATTTGAACTCACCATCCCAGGGGTTTTGCACATCAGATGTGGTTGGATTGCCATTATACATAATGGTTAGTGTTCTCCTTGTCTCATTGTGAAATTGTGCTGAAATGGAGTAATTACGTTAGCCTTGACTTCAACTCTTCAGTAGAGAGAACAATTTTTACTTATCTCTATCCAAGCACTTTTCTTATAGTAGGAGTTTGTTAAGTGTTTGTTGAATTATTCCGTAAATGTCCACTTTGTGTTAATTCTAGGGCAAAAGTTCCTCTCAGAAGCCCGTACCTCTTTGAGCCTCACTACTTGAGTATTCAAAGCTGGAGGACAGAAATGTTGGTGTTTGATACGTCTCTGCGAGCAACAACTTCTCCGCAGCCTTGTGATGAGGAAGGAACAATTTAGAGCCTCCTCTACCCACTGATCCTTGCCTGCTGAGGTCATCAAGTCTCTAAGGGCCTCATTGACACTATCGGCAAGTAGCCAGCATTTACCATGTTTCTTTAAACTGATTGTGTAGTGATGTGGCTAAATTAATATGTCCTACAAGGAGGCCCGGCACAGTGGCTCACAACTGTAATCCCAGCACTTTGGGAGGCCGAGGCGGGTGGATCACGAGGTCAAGAGATCGAGACCATCCTGGCCAACATGGTGAAACCCCATCTCTATTAAAAATACAAAAATTAGCTGGGCATGGTGATGGGTGCCTGTAGTCCCAGCTACTCTGGAGGCTGAGGCAGAAGAACCTCTTGAATCCAGGAGGCAGAGGTTGCAGTGAGCCGAGATTGCGTCACTGCACTCCAGCCTGGCAACAGAGCAAGACTCCATCTCAAAAATAAATAAATAAATACATAAAAATAAAAAAACCAAACTCTTCTATAAAGAAACAGAAAACAGAAACCAGCTACAGCAGAAACGTTCAGAGTCTCAAGCAGATCTCTGGTGTTAGGATTCATGACTTGTACAATTGCCACAGAGGAACTGTCTCTCCTCTGAAACAGTGGAAATGACAATAAATGCATCATAATTCTAACACGCTTAAATGATGATGTGCAAAGAAACGCTATTAGAATACCAATGTTTCTGACATTTGAATCATTGCCATTCTGAGTGGTGTGAGATGGTATCTCATTGTGGTTTGGATTTGCGCTTCTCTAATGATCATTGATCTTGAGCTTTTTTTCATGTTTGTTGGCTGCACAAATGTCTTCTTTTGAGAAGGCTCTGTTCATGTCCTTTGCTCACTTTTTGATGGGGTTGTTTTTTTCTTGTAAATTTGTTTAAGTTCCTTGTAGATTCTGGATATTAGACTTTGTCAGATGGCTAGATTGCAAGATTTTTCTCCCATTCTGTAGGTTGCCTGCTCTCTCATAAGTGGGAGTTGAACAATCAGAACACATGGACACAGGGAGGGGAACACCACACACTAGGGCCTGTTGGAGGTGGGGGACAAGGGGAGGCAGAGCATTAGGACAAATACCTGATGCATGTGGGGCTTAAAACCTAGATGACAGGTTGTTAGGTGCAGCAAACCACCACAGCACATGTATACCTATGGAACAAACCTGCACGTTCTGCACACGTATCCTGGAATTTAAAGTACAAAAAAAATTTAAAGAATACCATTGTTCTTATCTAAATTAATTTTTATGCATCTGCCTCTGAGAGGATGCAGAGAGGCCACAAAGTATCCTTACCACTCGCCCCTCCCATCCTGCAACCAAGCCCCTGAACCAGTGGACTTGTCAGATTTAGGACTAAGGAAGGCTTTGGTTGACCTGTTATTTTATAAATAGGAAACAGGTTGAGGGCTCACAGCTAGTTAGTGAGCAGCAAATCAGGACGGAAACTCATGTGTCCTGCAGTCTAGTTTAGTAGATGTGTTTCTTGATTGAAGTGGCTCACATTTGGTCTCTGATACAAATAAATAAATAACATTAAACGCCAAGGACAGTGGGAGAATGTTATAAGCTGTTTACATGCTATTTACTAAAGTATTTTGTCCAAACCATAATAAGTTTACTTATTGATATGATTTGGCTCTGTGTCCCCACCCAGGTCTCATGTTGTACTGTAAACACCAACACTGATGGGGGACCTGGTGGGAGGTGATTGGGTCATGGGGTGGATTTCCCCCTTGCTGTTCTCGTGATAGTGAGTGAGTTCTCATGAGATCTGGTTGTTTAAAAGTGTGTAGCTGGCCAGGCAAGGTGGCTCATGTCTGTAATCCCACCACTTTGGGAAGCCAAGGCAGGTGGATCAGTTTAGGCTAGGAGTTCAAGACCAGCTCGGCCAACATGGCAAAACTCGGTCTCTACTAAAAATACAAAAAAAAAAAAAAAAAAATTAGCGAGGCATGGTGGCATGCACCTGTGATCCCGAGCTACTCAGGGGGCTGAGGCACGAGAATCACTTGAACCCGGGGGGCAGAGGTTGCAGTGAGCCAAGGTGGCATCACTGCATTCCAGCCTGGGCGTAAGAGTGAGACTCTGTCTCCAATAATAATAATAATATTAATAAATAAATGCAAGTGTGTACCATGTCCCCCTTCGCTCTCTCTCCTGCTCCATGAAGGGAAGACGTACCTGCTTCCTCTCTACCTTCTGCCATGGCTGAACATTTCCTAAGGCCTCCCCAGCCATGCTGGCTGTGGGGAACTATGAGTCAATTAAACTTGTTTTTTTTTTTTTTTCATAAACTCCTCAGTCTCCGGTGGTTCTTTATTGCAGTGTGAGAATGGACTAATACTCTTAACAGGGACATTTATAAACAGGCCATGTGAGGACACAGCACCCCATTCCTGGGCTGTGTCATCTTAGAGCAGGGTGGTCTCTCTGAAGACCGGGCTGTCTGCAGAGTGCGTGACATCCATCTGCACCCATCTCCTTCCCAGGGACAGCCTTTGCTTCAGTTCTTCATGTGGTCACCAAGGAGCAAAGCTCAGAGACAAAAGGCATTCTGCCCAGACAGCCCCAGGCCTTATCATCCATCTCCTGCAGACCAGAAACCAGTGCTTGTTAGCCTGGCCACCCCAGACAGCAGACAGGGTATCCCACAGGTGCTTCTGCACGTGGCCAGAGACTCTGCCTCCCCTGCTCACCTGTTGGTTCTGAGGAGAAGATGGGAACCAGGCTGGTTTTTCCCACGGCAGGTTCGATGTGTGAATCCCCCACCGGGTGGTGAAAGCGACAAGCTCTCTGTCCCGTTTGCTTTCTAAACTGAAGTAAATAACTCAGGTCCTTAATTTTTCATTTTTGTGGTTAATCCTGTTTTCAGACATATCACAGACATGGATGAAAGGTCATGTTTCTCAGACATCAAGTTAAAAACCAATAGTGACCACAGTCATGAAAGAACATTCAGCCTGAGACAAAAGGGGTTAACGCACAGGGAAGATAACGACGGTGAGACCCGCCAGCTGCAGTCCAGGTAGGAGAGGGGTGGTGACAGGGGGGGAGGGGGTGGTGACGGGGTGGGAGGTGGTGGTGACGGGGGTGGGAGGGGGTCGTGATAGGGGTGGGAGGGGTTGGTGATAGGGGTGGGAGGGGTGTTGATAGGGTGGGAGGTGGTGGTGATGGGGTGGGAGGGGGTCGTGATAGGGGTGGGAGGGGTTGGTGATAGGGGTGGGAGGGGTGTTGATAGGGTGGGAGGTGGTGGTGATAGGGGTGGGAGGGGTGTTGATAGGGTGGGAGGTGGTGGTGATAGGGGTGGGAGGGGGTCGTGATAGGGGTGGGAGGGGTGGTGATGGGGGTGGGAGACAGGTGGTGATAGGGGTGGGAGGGGGTGGGAGATGGTGACAGGGCGGGAGGGGGTGGTGATGGGGTGGGAGGGGTGGTGATGGGGGGGGAGGGGGTCGTGATAGGGGTGGGAGGGGTGGTGATAGGGGTGGGAGAGGGGTGGGAGATGGTGATAGGGGTGGGAGGGGGTGGGAGAGGGGTGGGAGATGGTGATAGGGGTGGGAGGGGGTGGTGATGGGGGTGGGAGACACTTGGTGATGGGGTGGGAGAGGGGTGATGATACACGCAGGCCCAGTGCTGAGGCTCAGGGAATGTCCGGGGCCTGAGGAACTGAGGGCAAAACCACTGTGCTGTCAACGAGGAGGTTTCCTGTTGGAAGCCTTGGCTTTGAATACGGACTGTTTTGTTAATATTCTAGTGAACCAGGCAGGTGTATCCAATATCTGTAAAACTCAGCCTCCTCGTTTGTAAAAGGAAGACAGTATTTCTGACAGAGTAGTTGAGAAGATTGAGAACCACGCACACGTGGTACCGGGCGACGTGCTTGCTGCTCCACCTGAGCGTGGCGGTTTGCTCTCATCTGGTCTGGGCACCCGTGTGCTTCCTGGATCAGCCACTCTTGCCCATGTCCCTGTCTGCTCAGTAGCCAAGGAGCACTGTCCTCGGGTGTGGGGCAGAACCTCCCTTAGGGTGGGGTGGTGTGATTTATGGCAAACCCAAGATCCCAGGTAGAGCTGGCCCTGAGCCCCCGCTGCACAGGGAGCCCCCGCTGCACAGGGAGCAGGCGGCCTGTGGGAGAGCTCACTGCTGGGGAGGGCGTCTGTGCAGGATGAATGGGAGCTTCTGAGGCTCAGGACCCCGGAGCAGAAGTCAGGACCCGAAGACATCGGTAAATACCTCTGACGCTAACCCCAGTCAGCCCCAACTTTTCGGTGGATGCTTCCATGGGGATTCCTTTTATTTTTACAGCACGTTACGTTTTCTGTTGTGGACACTAATAAGGTTCTGACAGCGCAGAGGCACTGGTTGCATTATTTTCGCCAAGCGTGGGCAGTAGATGTTCGTAGACGGTGGCAACAAGGGCTGTTTCAATGGGCATCTTGCTGCTGAGAGACTCATTTTATTTACTGTAAGGGATAAAAATTACACTTCTAATCTCACACACTACTCAGATTTCTGTAGGCCCCAGTAGCAAGGTGATGTGGGGCCTTGGGAAGGTCTCCCAAAAAGAACAAAACATCACATTCCATGGGTGTGGTTTCTCGGGTACACAGAGCCCTGATGCCAGGACACTCCCTCTGAGTCCCAGCGTGCAAAGAGAACCCTCCCGTGGGTGGGTACCAGCTCTCCCTCTCTTCCTCTTCTGTACAAAACAGGGGGCCTCAGGCACCTGCCACTGGGTTCTAGGTCATCCCAGAACAGGCCTGTGGGCCCAGACGTGCTGTCCAAATGTTGCTCAGGGCCGTTCTCTGCTGGTTCCGCTCCTAAGCCGAATGTTGGTTGTGGGCTACTGTGCTCTCCTGGTTACATCCTGAACCCAGGACAACCTGCCCCCCAAATCCCCCACCACTGGGTTCTACTTCCTTGTAGGCTGGTTTGCATGTCTCATTAGGAATAAGACCACTCCGTGCTATTAATTTTACTTGCTTTTCCCGGCAGAGCCTTTGACACAGGAGTTGGTCGTGAGTCAGTGGAAATTATGGAATTTGATTGACAAAGCTGAAGTCTACTCAGACTATGCTTTCCTTCCCCAAATTCCCTTGTTGTTTAACCAAGCCTCAACTCTAGTTTTTAGCTGGACCACACTGAGGCTTCTCTTGTTTCCTCAAGTCTTATAAATACATCCCTGAGATCAGGAGTTCTCAAATGAGAATCCTCAGACTCTCTGCAAAATAAAAATTAACAACAAAGATTTTCTTTCAAAATTTTGTGTTTTCATTTCAGTGAGAGTCCAATAAAATTGCTTTCACCAGTCATGAAGGCTAATCACTTTGCAAGAGGTAATTTGCAATGCAAATGCACCTATTTTCCCCCTCTGGATGTATTTTTAGTTTCTCAGGTCAGTGTTCCTCAAACTGGAACCTAAAAATATATTCTCAGAATAACATATTTTCCATCAAAGTGGCTTCTGCATTGCTCAGGTTTGAGAGACTGGACTTCTGAGAGGGGCTGGCATTGCCAGTTCATAGGTATTGCCTGACGTGGGGATTTAGAACATGTAGGGAGCCAGGCCCTCCCTGCAGGGTGTCCCCACGTACCTCCCCTCTGCTTTAGTGGCACTGGGAGGCTCTTGAGGGGAAGGTGCCAGGGTTGCACTGCATCTCCCTTGGAGTGTGGCCTCAGCCCTGAGAGATGGTTCTCCTGGTTCTCTGGATGCGGTCGAAGGTCTGGTTGTTTATTCTCAAAGTCTGGCGTGTTTGAATCACATCATTCTTCCCCAGTTCCACTCTCAGACGGTGAAGTGCTTCTTCCAGTATGTGTGGGCCAAGGTGCAAATGCCAATTGTGTGACTGCAACACAGAGTCCTGTGGACTGGGCTATGATAGACAGAGATGGCAACCTTAGGTTGATGAGTGTCCTTCTGGTAGCCTCTGGTGTTATAAAGTGTCATCAGGAAGGGATGGTGAGTCCTGGTGACTGTCACCTTGGGTGACTACCCATATTTGGCCTTCTCTCCTGGCTCACTCCTGCTCACCTCTTGGGGCACAATAGGGTTATAATTTCCTCCAGGAAGCTAGGCTAGGAGGGATAGATGTACTAGTCAGGGTTTTCCAGAGAAATAGAGCCATTAGGACAAATACTGAGACATAGAAGGAGGTTTATTATGGGAATTGGCTTATGCGATCACCGTGGCTGAGAAGTCCCACAGTCTGTATGGTGGGGACCCTGGAATGTCGCTGGTGTAATTCCCCAAACTGCAGACCTGAGCCCTAGGGGCCAGTGTCCACGATCAGGGGAAGGTGGATACCCCAACTCCAAGAGGAGGAGCCAGGGGAAGATGGATACCCCAACTCCAGGAGGAGGAACCAGGGGAAGTTGGATGTCCCAACTCCAGGAGGAGGAACCAGGGGAAGGCGGATGTCCCAATTCCAAGAGGAGGAACCAGGGGAAGGTGGATGCCCCAACTCCAGGAGGAGGAACCAGGGGAAGGTGGATGCCCCAACTCCAGGAGGAGGAGCCAGGGGAAGGTGGATGCCCCAACTCCAGGAGGAGGAGCCAGGGGAAGGTGGATGCCCCAACTCCAGGAGGAGGAGCCAGGGGAAGGTGGATGCCCCAACTCCAGGAGGAGGAGCCAGGGGAAGGTGGATGCCCCAACTCCAGGAGGAGGAACCGGGGAAGGTGGATGCCCCAACTCCAGGAGGAGGAACCAGGGGAAGGTGGATGTCCCAACTCCAGGAGGAGGAGCCAGGGGAAGGTGGATGCCCCAACTCCAGGAGGAGGAGCCAGGGGAAGGTGGATGCCCCAACTCCAGGAGGAGGAGCCAGGGGAAGGTGGATGCCCCAACTCCAGGAGGAGGAGCCAAGGGAAGGTGGATGCCCCAACTCCAGTAGGAGGAGCCAGGGGAAGGTGGATGTCCCAACTCCAGGAGGAGGAGTCAGGGGAAGGTGGATGCCCCAACTCCAGTAGGAGGAGCCAGGGGAAGGTGGATGCCCCAACTCCAGGAGGAAGAGCCAGGGGAAGGTGGATGCCCCAACTCCAGGAGGAGGAACCAGGTGAAGGTGGATGCCCCAACTCCAGGAGGAGGAGCCAGGGGAAGGTGGATACGCCAACTCCAGGAGGAGGAGCCGGGGGAAGCTGGATGCCCCAACTCCAGGAGGAGGAACCAGGGGAAGGTGGATGCCCCAACTCCTGTAGGAGGAGCCAGGGGAAGGTGGATGCCCCAACTCCAGGAGGAGGAGCCGGGGGAAGCTGGATGCCCCAACTCCAGGAGGAGGAGCCAGGGGAAGGTCGATGCCCCAACTCCAGGAGGAGGAACCAGGGGAAGATGGATGCCCCAACTCCAGGAGGAGGAACCAGGGGAAGATGGATGCCCCAACTCCAGGAAGAGGAGCCAGGGGAAGGTGGATACCCCAACTCCAAGAGGAGGAACCAGGGGAAGGTGGATGCCCCAACTCCAGGAGGAGGAACCAGGGGAAGGTGGATGCCCCAACTCCAGGCGGAGGAACCAGGTGAAGGTGGATGCCCCAACTCCAGTAGGAGGAGCCAGGGGAAGGTGGATGCCCCAACTCCAGGAGGAGGAACCAGGGGAAGGTGGATGCCCCAACTCCAGGAGGAGGAGCGAGGGGAAGGTGGATGCCCCAACTCCAGGAGGAGGAGCCAGGGGAAGGTGGATGCCCCAACTCCAGGAGGAGGAGCCAGGGGAAGGTGGATGCCCCAACTCCAGGAGGAGGAGCCAGGGGAAGCTGGATGCCCCAACTCTAGGAGGAGGAGCCAGGGTAAGTTGGATGCCCCAACTCCAGGAGGAGGCGCCAGGGGAAGGTGGATGCCCCACCTCCAGGAGGAGGAGCCAGGGGAAGGTGGATGCCCCAACTCCAGGAGGAGGAGCCAGGGGAAGATGGATGCCCCAACTCCAGGAGGAGGAGCCAGGGGAAGGTGGATGCCCCAACTCCAGGAGGAGGAACGAGGGGAAGGTGGATGCCCCAACTCCAGGAAGAGGAACCAGGGGAAGGTGGATGTCCCAACTCCAGGAGGAGGAGCCAAGGGAAGGTGGATGTCCCAACTCCAGGAGGAGGAACCAGAGGAAGGTGGATACCCCAACTCCAGGAGGAGGAGCCAAGGGAAGGTGGATGACCCAACTCCAGTAGGAGGAGCCAGGGGAAGGTGGATGCCCCAACTCCAGGAGGAGGAACCAGGGGAAGGTGGATGTCCCCACTCCAGGAGGAGGAACCAGAGGAAGGTGGATACCCCAACTCCAGGAGGAGGAGCCAAGGGAAGCTGGATGCCCCAACTCCAGGCGGAGGAACCAGGGGAAGTTGGATGCCCCAACTCCAGGAGGATGAACCAGGGGAAGGTGGATGTCCCAACTCCAGGAGGAGGAACCAGAGGAAGGTGGATACCCCAAGTCCAGGAGGAGGAGCCAAGGGAAGGTGGATGCCCCAACTCCAGGAGGAGGAGCCAAGGGAAGGTGGATGCCCCAACTCCAGGAGGAGGAACCAGGGGAAGGTGGATGTTGCAACTCCAGGAGGAGGAGCCAGGGGAAGGTGGATGCCCCAACTCCAGGAGGAGGAACAAGTTTACTCTTTCGGTACCTTTTTGTCCCATCTGAGTCCTCAATGAATTGGATGGAGTCGGCCCACTCTGGGGAGGGGGATCGTCCTTACTCCGTCCACTGAATCTAATGCTCACCTCTTCCAGAAACTCCTTCACAGACACTCACAGAAATTCAGGTGTGCCAGCAACCTGGGCCTCTCTCAGCCCAGTCCTGTGGACAGGTTGAAATTAACCACCTCAGCAGGTGTGGCCTCTTCTGCATCACGGGGTGCACCTCCATCACCGTGCGAAAAACAGATGCTTCATGGAAGGCAGTGTCCATTCCTTTGGGTGCGGAGAAAGCTCCTGTTCGCCTCTGAAACTTCATGCCAGGTCAGCGACTTCTGCAGGAGTCAGTCCCGGGCCTGGCATGGTGCTGGGTGCCAGGCTCTGATGATCCATATGCTCACAGTAAATGTAATATCAAGGAGGATAAAATTAGCCAAGTAGGTTATGGCCAGAGGGAAATTACTTGTTTTTTGCTCAATTTTGATGGAGACTGACAATTATCAATGGTCAATTTTTCTGATTTTCTATGAGTTTCTTCCACAGACTCTTATGATGCCCTGTCCGCTTACCCAGTATCACTGCCGTCTCCCCAGTTTGCTGCCCTGAACTCAGGTGAGAGCGCACACTTGCCTTTATACCTGCTGGAGCCATTCTTCTCTTCTTTCTGTTTGGAGCATCCTGAGTGTGTTTCTGGATATGTGCACGCACACACGCACACATACATGGGTGCCCATGAACAGGCCTCTCGCACCCCCCAGACCCCGGCGTCAGGTGTCAGGGGGAGTGGCTGGTGCTGGGGCTCAGGGAAGGATCAATGAATGCAAATGAGGACGTAGGTGCCTCGATTCGGCTGTGACTGGAGCTATGGGGAACCGTCTGTCGAGTGTTTTCTCAACCTTGAGTGCAGTGGGGCTGCATTAACGATGGAAAGAAAGGGGCTGCCACAGGGTGAGGCGGGTCCATCCCTACCCGAGTGGCTGTGTCTGACCGCTACCTGGGGAACCTGCAGAAGGTTGGCACGCTGCTCTGGCCTCGTGAATCGGGAGCTGCCATCGGCTGAATCAGGTGCTTTAGGAAAAGGTCCGGTCTGCGAGGCCTGTGAAAACCGTGATGAACTACACCCGCAGCAAGCCAGTGTGTACTTGGTAAGGCAACTCATGCTTCTGTTTCCAAGTGCAAGCATCTGTAACGGAAGTGTCGTCTTCAAGATCACAGGGCGGAGAGAGCGCTGCCCTGATTTTCTTCGCCTTTGTGATCATCAGGCTCTGAAGTTGAGGATGAGTCTGGAGAGCAGTTCTGGGGTCTCTGCAGCTTTTCCAGGAGGGCTGTCTGCCCGGGTGAAGACACGCTGTCTCAGCTGTTGTTTTAGGACCATGGGCCCTGGGGCCCAGGACAGCAGGAAGGCGGGTCCCAGTCTCCTTCTGATGGCTCCATCTGCACTGGGTAATTATTTTTGACACGAGGACATTTATCAGTGAGGGTGAGCTGTTTGGAGTGCCTGGAGTGCTCCCAAAAAGGAGTATTAGAACAGCTCAATCCAACTAAAAACAAACAAACAAACAAACAAAAAAACACCAAAACTGCTAAGTGGGCTTTAGGACTAACAGCCAGATCCCAGCTACTGGAGTGAATTTAAAGAGTAATAATTAATCCTAACAATTAAGGGAATATATTTTGCCACCTTCTCCCTGAGTGGACGCAGTGAGTGGATTTGGTTGTGAAGAAGGCAGACGTTGCCTTTCTTATTGAAAAGATGGGTTCATGCAGCAGAGAAAGTAAGCTGGCAGGGATGGGTTTTTTCTGCTCAGGTAGCAGCGAGAGCGGCAAAGCGATCTGTTTAAACACTGACCTTCCGTGTTTTCCTTGAAACAGAAACAGAATTTTAACACTGGCCTAAAGGATGGTGAGAAATGAACTCCTGGTTGCCGACCAGACTTCCCCTTCTCATCCCGACGACGCGGGACATAGGGTAGACGGTCCCAATGCCGACGTAAGTTCCACAGTTCATTCCTTTCCACGAGGATGCAGTGCCAACCCGGGAAGCCTTTATGGAGTGCCTGGGAGGTGCCCGGCCCTGGGCTTGGTGCAGGGGTGGGCAGTGGTGACAGACAGGAAGGTCACTGTAAGGGGCACACAGGGCTTTATATCATGTGGAAAGACACACGCCCATGAGTCTCCCAGAAATAGCACATCAGGTACTGCAATGCATGACAGCTTGAACCCGCAAAGCTGCAGTGAGCCAGAGAAGCCGGGCAGAGGTGGTGTCGGTGAGACCCTCAGGGAAATGCAGAGCAAGCCCGGCCCTCAAGTGTGGGTAGCTGTGGAGAGGCAGAGAAGGAGAGGACCCGCTGTGAGCATTCCAAGGCCAGCACAGTCACGTCCAAAGCAGGAGGCAGAGGTGAAGTCACTCATGTCTCTGAGGGAGAGATACAGAATTTTCTTCACACGTCAAAGTTAGGTTCTAGTATCAGAGCCCTGCTCATCCCCCTCTTACTCTCATCCGGCCACATCTCCGGGGCTTCCGCCTCTTCTATGGTCCCCGTGTTCATCTGGGATGCTGCCCTCGTGGCAGAAGATCACTTGCTGGGCCCTCCCAGCCTGGGCTCTTTAAGATTCGAGGACACCCTTGGGACCCATGGGAAATGGGGCAGAGGCACACAGGGAGGCCCCCATGTATTTTGTCTAAATATTTTAGAGGTTATCGCTAAGTCAGTAACTGCTGCATGTGTTCCAGCCCCTCAGCTTGACAAACATACATGCAGGAATACAGACCACGGGTATTGGTGGGCAGCAGCTCACATCTGGGTCCTGTTTGTGCAGAGCCCATGCTCAGCCACGTACGTGCTGGCTGCTTTCATGCCACAAGTCCAAGTTAGGAGCTGAGACAGAGGCTGTGTGGCCCACAAACTGAACCTATCTACTATCGGGTGCTTTATGCAGAGTCTGCCAACCCCTGAACTAGATTGGTCTGCATTTAGAATCCTTATTTTCTTAGAGTTCCATGCCATGGGGCATGGGGAGGGCGGGCCCCCAGCAGGGACCTTCCCCTTTCCCATCCTGCCCATTACCAGGTCCCCAATCAGGGGCCCCCCCATCTATGTGTGTAGCCACCCAATCCAAGACCATGCACCCAAGCTCCATCACACCTTTCTATAGACTGCTGAGCCCAGCCAGCTCTTAGGCCTAACGCCTGCTGTGATGAAGCCAGGTTCATGGGAGAGGCCCAGGTGAGCCTGGGTCAGACGTGGGCCACCTGGGTGATAAGGGCTAGGGGCTGGTGTGTGTGTGAATAGCACACACAATCACACAGTGTACATGGAAGGGGCTCAGCTTCCAGGTGGGGGCTTGCCTTTGCCCTGTAGGAGCAGTAGGAGGACCAGCACAGGAGCTTGCAAGCAAGAGCCCAGAGCAAGAGCCCCTCTCCCCTGGTGTCCAAGGATGGTTCTGCTGACCCAAGGGAGGAACACAAGAAGGGAAGCTTGAGATGCTACAAACAACAAAATGGCACCCTGTGTGCAAATCCTGGTGAGTGCACTTGTGGGTGCTGCAGCCACAGGCTCTGGAAGACACCCCTGCCTGGGCGAGCCATCCAGTCCTTCTCTTGCTGTTGGGGCCTGGATGCTCCAGCAGGGGCATTGGGCTGGGGTGACTCTTCTTTGCTCTGACTTGATGTGAGCCCAGTGGCTGCTTTGGAAGTGTCACCCTCAGGGGGTTTTGGTTGGCCTAAGAATCAATATTTATAGGGTGTCCTGCATTGTGTGTTTTCTATTTGTAATTCTCAAGCATGGCTCCCATTTCACTTAGTATCCAAAGGAGTAAGAAATCCTCACGTTGGATTCCATGAACCTAGGAACCCCAGTGTCTTCTGAACAGCCTTTTCCTCTTTGTGTTCCCAGCACACAAACTGTTAGAAAGATTTATGTTAGAATCCACCCAGCATCTGCTACCCAGAGCCTAATTTTGCCCTCCCTCTGAACTGAATTTTTAAGTTTTAAGTCAAATACTCGCTGATGTTTGCGCTTCCCCACTTCATGCATATTCTTCACCTGAGCCCCTGCACCTGGGGAGCAAACCCCTGTCCTGGAGGAAGCCTGATGCGCCACCTCCATTGTTAGAAAGCTCCCTCAGGCTGACGTAACCCTGTCCTGGACCTGGAGAAAGCGTGATTCGCCACCTCCATTGTTAGAAAGCTCTCTCAGGCTGACGTCACCCTGTCCTGGACCTGGAGGAAGCCTGATTCACCGCCTCGATTTTTAGAAAACTCCTTCAGGCTGTCCTAACCCCATCCTGGACCTGGAGGAAGCGTGATTCGCCACCTCCATTGTTAGAAAGCTCTCTCAGGCTGACATCACCCTGTCCTGGTCCTGGAGGAAGCCTGATTCGCAGCCTAGATTGCTGGAAAGCTCTCTCAGGCTGGCGTCACCCTGTCCTGGAGGGAGCGTGATTTGCCGCCTCCACTGTTAGAAAGCTCTCTCAGGCTGAGGTAACACTGTCCTGGTCCTGGAGGAAGCCTGATTCGCAGCCTAGATTGCTGGAAAGCTCTCTCAGGCTGGCGTCACCCTGTCCTGGAGGGAGCGTGATTTGCCGCCTCCACTGTTAGAAAGCTCTCTCAGGCTGAGGTAACACTGTCCTGGTCCTGGAGGAAGCCTGATTCACCGCCTCCATTGTTAGAAAGCTCTCTCAGGCTGAGGTAAGATTGGCTTCCCCGCCGCTTCTCCCTGGAGACCCTAGTTCTGCTCTTTGAAGCCAAGCAAGATTACTCTTTATAGGGCAGCTTTGCCTTTATTTGTAGATAGCTTTTACACATATTTGCTCCCAAATCAACAAGGTTTTCCCCAGGTACCACCTGGACTATTCTTCTGTCAGCATTTCTCACGTGATACTGAGTCAGGAGCCTTTACTGTCCTCACCCTCGTGTGGGTGGGAGCCTGGTTTCTCATCACTCTGGTTAGACTGTGCCTAATGTGGGGTGCTGCTTTTTAAGGACAATCAGCTCTAAGTTGAGGCTCTGATTCTTGCACGTGCTTCCAAGCACGTCTCTTCTTGCCATCTCCATTGCCACCCCAAAGTCACTCCCCTCGGACAGGGACGGCAGCATCTCAGTCATCACTCTGTACCCCATTTGACCAGCTGGAGAGTCCTGTGTCTTCACACAACTGTGAGAATGATCATTGGAAGCTATGCATTCCATAATAGCTTTATGTTAAATTCATTTCTCATCTTTCATTGGCCCTTGGGAAGACGTCCAGATCCCTTAACATAGCTTACGAAACCCTCTCAAACTCAGGGCCCACCTTTCTCTCCAACTTCATTCCCCCAGCCCCGACGTCATCTGAGGTTCAAGTTCAGTAGCCCCTCTTGATAGCTGAGCACAGGAAGCTCAGGGCCCTGCGTTTTGGGCATTTGAAGGGTTCCGCTGGTCGTGGCTTTCCCCACCATCTCCTCCGTTTCCACACGACTTGCTCCTGCATACCTCAGCTTCAGTGCCGCTCCGAGAGGCCTTTCCTAATGTCTGAACCAGGAGAGGCTTCCCACCACAAGCTCCTCTATGGGATTCTGGTTAATTACCAGTGAAACGTCCACCTTTCCAGCCCGCCTGTAAGCTAGGCCATAATAGGGGCCGTAGCCCTCCTTACAGCCGCGTTCTTGTCACCTGCGCGGTGTCCAGCGCACACTCGCCTCCTACGTATTTGCCTTGTGAGGGATCAATCGGTGTCGTAGAGCCGTTCAGAGCTATTCCTCTATTAAGTGATTTGGATACCATGGTGACTAAGAAGCATGCTGTGATCGCTGGGGTTTATGGAAATATTGTGTGCTCCTGAGCGTTCAAACAGGTGGAATATCAACTTTATTAAGCCCAGGTGGTGGTGCAGTTTAAATGCGATTTCATCTTTTCTTATTTTAATTTACGAATTGCTCAGTTGATCATATTAGAAAAGAGTACCCACATTGTGCCTGCTGGAGCCATATCTTTGTAAAAATTCTGAAAGCAAGGGGAAATGTTGGAGTAAAATTATCACATTTCCTAACAATGTCTGTTTTGACTGGAAGCTCTAATGCATAATTTTGTGTCAACCAGAATAAAAGTAATCTTTTTTTTTCCTGGTGGTGCTTTATAGTTAGATTGTAGGGAATCTTCATAAAATATGCCAGCCATGCACCTTTGATTCAATATTCATGTATTCTCCCACATACGGAATTTCAAGGCCATGTTTAAGGGGAATGAAACGAGGCCTCATAAAGAATGGCAGCTTATGCAGCTTACTTTTAAAAAGAGGCTCTGAGAAACCTTTAGCTTTTTCAAACTTCCAAATTTTAACCCCAAATCCACTAGAGCCCAAATACCCACATTTGTCTCTGAATAATCGTTTGCTTTTGGTTAAGGATGGTTACACTAGCACAATTTGTTTTTTTTTTTGAGATGAAGTCTTGCTCTGTTGCCCAGGCTGGAGTGCGGTGGCATGATCTCGGCTCACCACAACCTCCACCTCCTGGGTTCAACAATTCTTGTGCCTCAGCCTCCTGAGTAGCTGGGACTACAGGCGAGCACCATCACGCCCAGCTAATTTTTGTATTTTTGTTACAGATGAGGTTTCACCATATTGGCCAGGATGGTCTTGATCTCTTGACCTCATGATCTGCCCGCCTCGGCCCAGTCACACATGTTTCCCTACGCAAGCTCCCTATTGATTGGAATGATGAATATTTCCAATGGATCGATTTTCAATGGTGGAAGAAATTTGTCACTTGCATAGGTTTGTCATTTGCCTAGGCGAAAGGTTGCTTGATCTTAGAAGCGTCATTGCCTCTTTTTGAGAGGAAATTGAATTTCAGAAAAGGCTGTTACTAGATGAAGTGAGAACTGATTGAAATTATCAGTCACTCCTAATACATTTTGGGTGGACAGAGCCATGTGGAGGAGCTTCTAGGCTGCACATGAGATGGACATATTCCAAAGGCCCATGTGAATATACACATCTGTATTATGGGAGGAGAAACATATGCATGCCTTAGTAAAAACCAGCCAGTAGCATAGAAGAGCCAGCTTTCAATGAGCAGAGAGCAGGGTGGGAAGCAGGAGACAGGCCCACTCTGGTTGGGTGGTTAGGAGTTGGTAAGTCCATAGGGAGGATACATGCGGAACACCATTGAGTGCTATTAGCTTGGTGGCCTTGGGCGGCCAGAGTTGGCGTGGATGGGTAGATGATGTCAACAGAAGGAATGAATAATCCTGCTGGGAGATACTTTCTCCTCTCACGACTTTGCTCAGAGCTTGACACGAGGATTCGTGTTTGATATGAAACACCATTCAAGAGTTTTACTCACAATTTATGCCACATATGCAAAAACAAGCAGAAGAAGAAATGAAAATATGTAACATACGATCTTCAAGAATAATTCAGATATTTAAATAAATGGGAGAGAGAATTTTGCAAGCTTCTTAATTACAAATAATAAAACCGTTTTAAGAGAAGTTTGTTTCCTGTTTTCCCTAAGCATAGTGTATGCAAGCATAAAAATTCCATGTGCCTGTCTTGCTATCTGTCGGTGAGAAAGATATCAAGTTCCTCTCCTTTAACAGGTGGATATCAATATGTTTTTATTTATGAGTGGATTCATTTAATTCCTGGATATGATAGTTCTCATATATTTCTATAAGCTGATTTCTGTGTTATCATAAATTCTAAGTCAGCATTTCTATACCCAAAAGAGCATTTAAAAGGTATCACAACTAATCATTCAGCTAAAACCAGGGCTTTATCTGAGCTCCTGCAGACACAAACACATTGATCCTACAGAGATGCTGATTTCTCTGGTGCTGTAGGAAGCACCAATGGGAAAAAACTGACTTTAAAAGTCAGTTAAGGAAGTTTAAGAGTATTATCTGGTGTGTCTGAAGTTGGAGTTATTTAGGTTTTATTTTTTCAGACACCAAATGACTCACCTACTTAGTTTAAATTTATGTTTAAAAAAATAACAATTTTCATCTCTAATTAATGCTTCACTTAACCCAAGCTGGACATAAAGGAAGATCATCAAATAATATGTGATTTAGCTCTTGTGATACAAACATGTGAAGGTCTGGGTCATTTTGATTCTGTTAAAATGAGCTAAGCTTTTCATTTCTTTTTCCTATCAAGAAAGGCTCTCGAGCGACTGTGTGGTCAGGGTAGGAGAGGCTGAGGAAGGTTGGGGGCCATAACCTCAGGTTCGGTGTGAGGTCCGGGATGGCCTGGGCCTCAGGGACAGCTGCAGCCAGGTCAGGAACACGTGCGGCTCTCCTGCTTGGCCATTTTGTCATTGTCGTTCTGTGTTTTTTGTTGTCTGTGTGTTTTCTTGTTTGCATTGGGCTCTATGAATATTTTTATTTTGACTTGAGTGAAACCTTGGATTCACCAAAATGTCTGACAAATCGTTCCCCATCCTCCACCCCCCACCCCCCACCATCCCACCTGATTTGGTCAATCATCAAACATTAATTGAACATTTACTGTCTTCCTCGCCTGCTAGTACGTGCAGTCATGCCTCACTTAATGACAGAGCAATGTGTTGTTAGGCATCTTAGAATCTGTGAAATTTCTTAAGTAAAATTGGAATATTGTTACGTTTGGATTAAGTATGACTGTGCTCAAGACAAACTCATCTGCTTTTCTGTCTCCATGTAGATTTTAATCTACATCCTTTGGCATGCATCGGCATATATGTACCATGCTTGAGTTTGTGTGTGTATGGGTCACCGTAGTATATGGGGCTACTGTAGAATATGTGGTTTGTTGTTGACTCAAGCATTGTTATGGGGTGCATGACTGTATTTGTGGGATGTATGGTAAAGGTAGATCAAAAAAATCTACTTTGACTTTAAGACATTTAAAATATGCCTTTCTTGAATTTGTCCACAATGCAAATTTAATTTCTGAAACCTGAAGATAGATAAAACTCATTTTAATTGAGATGAAAACACAATCTGAAACCTCCCTAAATTTCTTCAGGGGTAGTTTAGGCTATGATTGATGAAGATTGTCATAACTGTACCACTTTCTTGATGTGAGAATGAGTTAACCCTGAAGCCATAAGTCTTAGTCCATCCAGAATTTTGTAACAAAAATTCCACCACTGGGGCCTGTGAAACAGTAGACGCGCCTTTCCCACAGTTCTGAGGCTGGAAGCTGGAGATCCGGGTGCTGTAGGCTCTGTGTCTGCTGAGGGTTTCCTGACTCAGATGGAGCCTGTTTGCTGCATCCTCCCATGGCGGAAGGGGTGAATGAGCCCCCTTAGGCCTCATTTACGGGGGTACTAAACCCATCTGAGAGGGCTCCACCCCCGTGGCCTAATCACTTCCCAAAGGCCCCACCCCTTAACACCCCCTCATACCATCCCTTTTCAGGTAGGAATTTCTACATAGGAATTTTAGAAGGACACAGACATCAGACTTCACTCTATTAAATCCAGTATTTTATTCCATTAAATCTAAAAGCCGTTGATGGGGAGATACACCACAGCTGTACGCACGACTGAAAAATGCTGCTGAAACAGTTATGACCATGCTTGATTTGTACATTTTAAAAAACTCTTTAAGACATACACAAATGTAGATTCTAATGTAACTCTGTTGGCATGTATCTGCATACATATGTTCCATATGAGTGTATGTGTGTGTATATATATATATATCTTATAATACATTGATAAAGGAATTCCTAAAACTTCACAGAATCTGCCTTTTCTTACACATTTTTAAATCTCGGACTCACGAATATTCATAATTTTCCACCTGTCATTATTTCCTGCCATCAAGAGTATTGAAAATGCAGCGTTTGTACAAGCCTGCACGCCGGTAGTCAGTTCCAACCCCGACACTGGCTCTGCACGCTTAGTGCTGATGTTCTCTGGAATTCTTGATTTTACCAGAAGGTGTCAAGAAAACATCCTCAGACAGCATTCCTTCTTTCTCCCAGGGCCCTTGCATGTTGTGGGGCCAGAAGCGTCCGGGCTGTACAAATAGTACCACCATCTTCCTGGAGTGACTGGGAGAGACACCTGGGATCTTGCTGGGTCAATAGTGACTGTGCAAGGCCATCCATGATAAAATGCGTTCCAACCTCAGACACATGAAAAGTGAAAAAAAGAAAAGGCATCTTAGAATCTGTGAAATGTTGTAAGTAAAATTCGAACACGGTGGTTATGTTTGGATTAAGTACGGCTGTGCTCAAGACAAGCTCACCTGCCTTCTGCCTCCCGCTTCTGCCTCCTTCGTGTGGTCTCCAGCCTGGAGCTGGACGTTGGAGTGAACATGAGTGTAAATACAGAAAGCGTCGGCATGTTTTCAACAAGCAAATTCGTTTCTTTGCTCTGTGTGTTTGTGTGCCTGTCTAGGACAGTGTTGTAACTTCAGGAAAGATTAGAATCAGTGAACTCCTTCAGGGCTAGGACCGGGAATTCTATCTGTACTCTTTTTACCTTCTTGCCATCTTTCCTCAATTATTAATACATTACTCTCGCACAAGGAGGCAAAGCTCAGAGGTGTTAGTGCTCTTTTTTTTAAAAAAAGCAACAAGTATTATAGATCTTTATTTTAGTAAAAGAAAATTGAATCTTCTGACAAGAGTTCCTACAGATTCTCATTCAGTCCAAATTGTCAGCCCAGAAGCCCCAGTGAACACAACCTGAATTTCGGGCTTTATACCACACGATACAAGAACCTGCAAATAAAAGAAAAATTCAAGGACTTTAGGATTCTTCTTGCTTCTCTTTTGCATCTGAGACTTCAAGAATACAATTCAAAAATTTCTCAGCTTAAACATTACATTGATTTAAAGTTTCGGATATTTCAAAGCCCTTTCTCTGGAATTGCCTTATTTGGTCTAAACCCAAGTCAAAACACCCTACAAGGGAAGAGCAGAGAGGGCTTGTTACACCCATTTCTCAGACGAGAAGACTGAGGAACAGAAGAGCCGAGAAGGCACTACTGGTGCTCTGTCCTGAGTCCTGGAACTGTCCCAAGAATACCCGCCTGATGTTAGCAAGCACCTTTCCCACGACCTGGCACTACCTACCTTTCATTGCGGTGTGGACCAGAGTCCGAGGAAGTGTGAGGCCCAGAGAGCGTGCGGGTGAGTGCGCCTGGACCCTCTGTCAGTCAAGATGTCCTTGGGTTTTCTCCTTGCTGCCCTGTTCCTTGTACAGCCACACCTATCTCCAAACCAGCTGCATTGACACCTTTGTTATTATGAGGATTTGATTGTAAGTTTTCTATCAGGCTATAGAGAGCTTAATTTAATGCAATGGAGAAATCTCCAAAAATAAAGCCCTTAAGTTTTTTTTTTTTCTTTGGCTTTGGACTTACAAAACCTCTCTCATCTTGATTGCCCTTTCTTGGCATAATAAATCAGATGTCCTCTTGTCCAAAAGGTGCAGTCATGGAATTGGCTACCCTAGATCTTAGCATGCTCTCATGGAATCAGCTGCCATAGATCTTAGCATTCTCTCCTGAAATTGGCTACGCTAGATCTTAGCATCCTTTAAGTCTCAATTTGATTTTCTTCCTCAGCTCCTCCAGGCAGTTGTGCGGGCTCAGCCACTGCACTTTCAGTCCCCTGCATGCATTTTCAAGGTGAAGTATTTGGTGGGGTTTTAGAATTCTACTCTGACTGCAGAGAGAAGTGTGGCCCATTTTGCTACAGGGCGCTAATAGACCTTTGTGATCTTTCCATGGTTTAGCCACCTAGGATGTGCAGCTTTTACTGTGATCAATGGCCTCTGAGAGTATGAAGTGGAGGTCAGAAGAAAATGCAAAGCAACTGGACGTTCCAGATGAGGAGCTGTTCCAAAATGAGGAGCCATTTCAGACAGAATGAGCTGTTCCAGAATGGGGAGCCATTCCAGAATGAGGAGATGTTCCAGAGTGTGTAGCCATTTCAGAATGAAGAGCTGTTCCAGGATGAGGAGCTGTTTCAGAATGAGGAACCATTCCAGAACGGGGAGCTATTCCAGAATGGGGAGCCCTTCCAGAATGGGGAGCCATTCCAGAATGAGAAGCTGTTACAGAATGAGGAGCTGTTCCAGAATGAGAAGCCGTTCAAGCATGGGGAACTTTTCCAGAATGAGAAGCTGTTCCAGAATGAGGAGCTGTTCCAGAGTGGGAAGCTGTTCCAGAATGGGGAGCTGTTCCAGAGTGGGAAGCCATTCCAGAATGGGGAATCGTTTCAGAATGAGAAGCCATTCCAGGATGAGGAGCTGTTCCAGAATGGGGAGCTGTTCCAGACTGATGAGCTGCACCTTGTACCTGCCTCACACCTGATCACATAGCCTTGATGCCAGAAACCTAGAGTGCTCTATTTAGGAACGTTAGGCTGGCAGCAGGAACCCCTGAAGAAACTCAGGACACTAGGTGCTTGAGCGCGCAGCTAACCCGCAGGAGAAACATCTCCCTTCTGCTGACCTGAGGCTTGACTCCTCTCCCACAGGAGGGGAAAAGAGGCCTCCACCCACAGTCCACTGTTATCCTAGGAGAAATCCTCTGGCCTCCTGCCCAGGAAGTGACAGAGAGAGAGAGAAGCTGAAGCTGCTTTAACCTTCAAGATGAACCTATTTCTTCCATGAGGTTTTCTCTTGCCTGTACACGTATCTTTATGTCCACGAGACACATCCACACTCTGCTCGCACAGCGTTGCCAGGGCCAGTGCCTTCTCTCCCATCCTGTGTTTGCATTTGCCATTTGGTGGGCCTGTCCTGCTGACCAGCAAGTCTCTGTACTGAATTTGGTGACTTTGATCTTATGATTCATGTTTCCCAGCGAGGTACTCTGTGTCTTTGCTATTAATAATGTGTTATTCAAGGGCTAGTTGGAAGATTGCATATTTAAATTGAAAACATTTTGTCTAAAAAGGGGTGTACAGAGAGAAAGAAAATTTCAGCCAGAGAGAATTCTTTTTTCTTCTTGAGACAGGGTCTTGCTCTGGAGTGCAGCGGTGCTGTCATAGCTAACTGCAACCTTGACCTCTCAGGCTCAAGCAATCCTCCCGCCTCAGCCTCCCGAGTAGCTGAGACTACAGGTGTGCACCACCATGCCCATAAATTTTTTGTAAGGAGAGGGTCTTGCTTAGTTGCCCAGGCTGATCTCAAACTCCTGGGCTCAAGCAGTCCTCCCTCCTCAGCCTCCCAAAGTACTGGAATTACAGGCCAGAGCCACCGTACCTGGCCTTCAGAAAGAAATTGTTTAAAAACCTCCTTAGGGCAAGTGCACAACACAAAGGAATTCAAAGAGCACCAACATGGGATTAGTGAGGGCCGGGAGCTAGGCCTGTGCCATGTATCACTGCATGTTGTGCTGTGTGAGATGACAAATCTGTCTTCCATTACTTTGTTGAGCAGTTACCCCTGAGAAGAATTATTTCCTTTAAAATAAAAAACATACTCTGTACTGGCTGCTGCATTATAGGGCATATCTTGCCTGGAAAATGGAAGTCAGGCAACATGGCTATTCTATGGAAATGTCTGAGCACAAAGAAGAGGCAAAAGGGAATGTGGAGGCCTGCGATGTCTTGGAAATGAGCAGGAGGATGACTGCAATGGCCCTTCAGTTAGGTTCAGGCTTCTGCGGGAAAGCGGCACCCAGGAGCCCAGAGCAGGGAGACAAACCTGCGTGGAAGTCCAGGTGTGCTGTGATGGAGAGGCCTCCATGTGGCCTTCCATATCCTGACAGCCCAGATGGGGCGAAGGCAGACCTCCACAGGAGTAGACACCCAGAGGCTGCAGTGAACCCTGCAGGGGACATGGCCTCTGTCCCCGGCTGCAGGGAGGAGCCCAGGCTCTGGAGTGCAAGACGGTGCCAAAGGCAGCAACCTGCAGCGCAGGGCTCCTCTCCCAGGGAGCCTCGTTTGCAAGATGCACGAGTAGTTCACAGGGCTGCTCTGACTGTGCCCACAAGGCTCTGCCCAGGCTTGGGAGGTCTTCCATGAAGGCGAGGACCAGGGCTTCCTTCTGTGCTCACATAACCTTTCCAGTCCTCAGACAACTCAGCTGGGAGAGCGTTAGCCCTGGGGTTCTCTCTGGTCCTAGAAGCTCTTCTACAGGACTCCTCGAAACGCCCAGAGACCCTATAGAACCTGCAGCCTCTGCCCGGCATATCCATTGGATTCAATTAGGCACAACCCAACTCGGCTCCAGTCAGCACCATTTCTTGGGATGTGCAGCATTTCTGTGCCTCTTGTGAAGACAAAGATAAATTAGACACAGACGGCATTCGAGACACTTGCCATGTTGAAGAGGAGAGGAGCACAGAAACAGCTAGCAATGGTGCCAGACAGAAAGTTGTGTGCCTGACAGGGATGAGAAACTGGGGGGATTTGAAGAGGAGACACGATTAATTCTGACCAGAGTAACAGAGAAGGCTTCATGGATGACACAGAACTTCAGAGGGAGGATTAAAGCACAAGTAAAGCAGGATTTTTTATTTTAGCAAAAGAAACAGATGTGAATTGGAGGCAGTGGCTGAGTTGTTCCCATCGATGTCTGGAAGTCCGAGAAGCTCCACTGGAGCTGCTAGCTGACGGCTGACCCACCTGTTATCAGGGGCATTTGGACGGCGCATGTGCCACACCAGGGACGTAGCGTGTGGCACCTGCCCCCTGTGTGTTTTCCTCTCACATGGGCCAGGGGCTCTGTCCCATTAAATAACCAGAAGATTAAATGCAGACTTTACAAAGTTCCTCATCCGGATCACTCTATGCCCACATCCTAGAAACATCTATGGAACTTAATTTTCCCACTGAAAGAAATGGCATGATTAAAAACTTTTTAGATTATATGAATAAAATGATAGGCAAGCAATCATCTTGAAAAGAAGGACACTTTGGGGAAACCTCCCCATTCTATTTTCCTCTGTAAAACAAACTGAACTCCGGTGGTTTTCAGCATTATAACATTCCTGTCCCACTGGAAATGCAGAAGACCGGGTTAAAAAACCCTAAGCGGACCAAGCCCATTATAACATTCCTGTCCCACTGGAAATGCAGAAGGCAGGGTTAAAAAACCCTAAGCGGACCAAGCAGAACAAACACTGCAACCCCTTTCTAAAAGCAGCCTTCATTTAGACACCAAAAGACGGGAGATACTATTTCTTTATTTTTATTTATTTATTTATTTTTTTGAGACGGAGTCTTGCTCTATCACCCAGGCTGGAGAACAGGGGCATGATCTCGGCTCAATGCATTGCAGCCTCTGCCTCCCAGGTTCCAGTGATTTTCCTGCCTCAGCCTCACGGGTAGCTGGGATGACAGGCACACTCCACCATGTCCTGCTGACTTTTATATTTTTAGTAGAGACAGGGTTTCACTATGTTGGCCAGGCTGGTCTTGAACTCCTGACCTCGGGTAATCTGCCCACCTCAGCTTCCCAAAGTGCTAGGATTACAGGTGTGAGCCATGGCGCCCAGCTGGGAGATACTGTTTCTAAAGCTTACACTTTTCTGATTCCTCTCTCTATGTGTAGATCTAGATGTAGAAATAGATTGGTTGAGAGACAGAGAGGTGAACATACATAGATGATAGATGAATAAATAATAGCTATATTGATTAGATAGGAAGATAGATGGATAGAGGATAGATAAGAACAGATGATAGGCTGGGCGTGGTGGCTCATGCCTGTAATCCTAACACTTTGGGAGGCCGAGGCAGGCGGATCACAAGGTCAGAGTTTGAGACCAGCCTGAGCAACATGGTGAAACCCCGTCTCTACTAAAAATACAAAAATTAGCTGGGCATGATGGCATGCCTGTAATCCCAGCTACCCAGGAGGCTGAGTCAGGAGAATCACTTGAACCCGGGAGGTAGAGGTTGCAGTGAGCCGAGATCGCGCCATTGCTCTCCAGCCTGGGCAACAGAGTGAGACTCCAACTCAAAATATATATATATATATATATAAAATCCATAGATAGATAAGAGACAGAAGATAGATGATAGGTTGATGATAAATGAATGATAGGCAGAGATAGATGACTGATAGATGATAGATAGGTGATATAAAGATCCACACAGAACACTTTTGCAAATTTATGAATAAGGACTGTTTTCTTAAAAGTTCATAAGGGATCTAAGATATTTTCTCTTCAAAATAATAAGTTTCGCAGCACGAAGCTAACGTGAAAACTTAAAAATGAATGTCCTTGTGAGGATGCACACGGACACAGAAGTGACACGCAGACAGCCTCCAGGCAGACGGGCTTTCGGAAAGCCCTCCCCTCCTCAGCTGCTGGCACCCCCAGCCTCAAGTACAGAGTCCCCAAGAATTTGAAACAGGAAGACCCAGTGAGCTGTCCCTCAGCAGCGCAGGGAACACACATGCGATGTGACGGTGGAGCCTGGAGGGCACCGCTGGGCTGTGGAAGTGGTGGGGGGTGAAGCCAGCCCAGAAAGCAGGTCCTGGCTGCGGAGGACCACGGGCGGCTGGAGCAGGCAGGCTTGGGCCTTGCCTGGGGCTGAGGTGGTCCCAGTGGCCCGCTGATGACATTGTCCTCCATCCAGACATAGAGAACGTTCTTGGTGCTATATTCTGTGGAAATCTACAGGCAAGAACCCTAACTTTGGGTTTAGTGAAGGATTAAGGGATGTCGCGTGTCCCCTCCCTTGTACTGAGTCATATGAAAAATCACGCCTGTAGCAAAGGCGGACGTTCCCACACATGTGAGAGGCTTCCAAGGCCTGGCTGTTCGTTTCCGGACTCACTGCTTCTTACAGTTACACTTGGCTGTGACGCGAGGGGAGTGCGAAGGTCTCAGCGTTCCTGGGCCGGAAACGGTGGCACCTCGGGGGTGGAAACCACTGGCTTCAGCTCCAGGAAGCCTCAGACGCGGGGACAGCGCCCTCACCCGGCTCTCGGAGGCTCTGCACGTCCGCCGCCGTCTCCCCTTTGATTTTGCAGATTGTGGGTAGCTCGGGACCTAGCAAAAGGGTGAAAAATATGTAGTCTACAACACTGCTTCTTAAATAGTAATGCCCACGAAAATCCTCTGCGGGCCTTGCCAAGTGCGTGCTCGGATTCAGCAAGTTTGGGTGGGGCTTGAGAATCTGTATTTCCAACTCACCTGCTCCTAGGTGATGCTGCTGCTGCTGCTGCATGCTCTGCCTTGGGTAGCAAGAGTCTAGGGGTGAGGTGTGGAGGGAGGGAGACAGAGTGAGAAAGAGTGAGGGGGACACAGGAAGACAGAGGGATCGCCATGGAGAATTAGCACGCTGCAGTTTACGTGTATGAATTGATTAACTCTTGAGAGGCTTAAAGTTCTTTTCTCTCAGAGAGAAATAATTTTTAAAAATCTGATCATGCATTGTGAGTCAATACAATATATCCTATTTAAAAATGTTTAACGTATAATTATTATTGTCCCCAAAGAATGAAACGTTCCCTGTTCTATGCCTCAACATAGAGACAAAAGATTAACTTGAACTCTACTTAATGATTCTACAGCTTAATGGGAATGACTTAATTGTGGAATTTAACATCTTTCCTTAGGAAAAGAGGATTCAAAGAAGAAGTGTACCTAGGGGTGGGGATAAGGAGCAAACGTGGAGATTGTGATTTTCTAAGACTTTGCTATGGCCACTCTCCTGCACGCTCGCCCTTGATCAGAGCCACACATAGGGTGTAATTGTACACATTCTGCATGCTGCTTATAAGTATTTTACAAATCTCATGGTGAATATAAATTTCTGAGAATTAGGCTGAATAAAAAAGTTCAAGTAGATGAATTCTTATCCCAATGGCTTCCTTTTAAATGTGTGGTGAAGTCGTGGTGTACTCCACCCTGAAGCTTCTGAAGGCATTTGTATTGATCAGCTCCTTGAAGAGTTTGCAGTGGTCAGAGATAATTGAGAAAGAATAAAACGGTCTCAGTAAGAGGATACTTGGAGTCTTCCAGGTAGGAAGACATTTGGAATCTTCTGGGTAAGAGGACATTTGGAGTCTTCTGGGTAGGAGGACATTTGGAGTCTTCTGGGTAAGAGGCCATTTGGAGTCTTTTGTGTAGGAGGACATTTGAAGTCTTCTGGGTAAGAGGACATTTGGAATAGCTTCTCTCCCTTTGCCTGTCTCCTGCAGATAACCCTGATATTTAATATTGAGCCCTCAGCCAAGCTCTCTTCTTAATATTTCCATAGTGCTAGCCACTTTAAGAATCAGATGCAATATTCTTAAATATAAAATACACTTAATTTTGCATATCATTACTTGCCTTAAATTGTCATCATAGCCATCACAGAAACATACTTACATGCAATTTTACAAAGAAAAGTGTCTCACATTTTTCAGAAAATAGAGGGGTGGCCACTTCTTGAAACATGAACTCAAATGAAGAAATTCCAGTGAAACTCGCCTTTGGTTTTGCCTCACAGTGGATTCTGAGGTAGAGTGGTGGCCTCTGAGCTCGCGTGCATGTGTAGCCTTCGGCATTGAGACCACGTCAGGGTTTTGTTCTGATGGCAGTCGATGCTGAAGATGTAGCTTTACCACAGTTGGTGGTAGCCATCAGGATCAGAGTGTCTATCGGTTGTATTTTCTTAATCGGGATAGGAGGATTCATCAATAAACTCCAGAACTATACAGGACTCCCCCAAGTTAGTTCACACCACACCTTGTCCTTTATTCTTCAGCCTCAGAGCTCCTGCTTCCATCCACTGCTCCTTTATCTTGTCTAAGTTAGTAAGAAAAACAACACGTGTTTCTGCTTCAATTTTGAGGTCGTTTGTTCCAAAACAACTTTTGAAAGAATTTTGCGGGCCAGGCGTGGTGGCTCACGCCTGTAATCCCAGCACTTTGGGAGGCCAAGACTGGTGGATCACTTGAAGTTAGGAGTTTGAGACCAGCCTGGCCAAGACAGTGAAACCCCGTCTCTACTAAAAATACAAAAAATTAGCAGGGTGTGGTGGTGGGTGCCTGTAATCCCAGCTACTCGGGAGGCTGAGGCAGGAAATCGCTGGAACCTGGGAGGTGGAGGTTGCAGTGAGCTGAGCTTGCACCACTGCACTCCAGCCTGAGTGACAGAGCAAGACTCTGCCTTAAAAAAAAAAAAAAAATTTTGCTTTTTTATGTAACGTGTTTGAAGAATTCTAATTGCAGGGGAAAGACGAACTCTAACCTCAGCCACCACTTCTTCAAACGAAGAGTGAGCTTGCCTGGTACAACCTTCTGCATCCATTGAGTTGCATCATATCTTGACTAAAAGAAGAGACACTTTAAATAGCATTAAACTAGATGGCACCTGCAGGTGTAGACCTGAGTGAATAATTAGCCTCAGATGTTCTCATCATGAATAGCTCCCTCTGCTCTTATTGTTTTCAGGTATCCTCGTCTTAAAAATTTTTTTAAGTGACTTTTTTTTTTAAAGAGATATTTTCCCCCCTTTCTCCTCTTGGCAAAACTTCTTCAAAAGTTGATGCCTTGAGACCGTGACCTATCCCCGACCAATCATCTCAGAGGTGTCTGGGTTTATTTCATGGTTCTTGGACCCTTCTCTGATTGCGTGGTTCTTGAAGATGTCTTCTGGGAACTTCAATTTTGATTTAAATCCTAATTTCTTTGCTTTGGGGAAGAGACTTTAAGCCTCAATTTAGCCTGCTGTAGGACTAGGGGAGTCACGTGACCTCACTCACGAGCTCTCGCGAGGATTTACCAGGCAAAGAGCCTCCAAAATGCGACAGAGCACTTGCTGTAAGACTGGGGGAGAAATGTGACCCCATTCACAAGGTGTGACGAGGATCTACCAGGTAAAGCGCCTCCAGAAGGCAGCAGAGGGCTTGCTGTAGGTCTGGGGGAGTAATGTGACCTCGTGGGGTGTTGGGAGGATCTACCAGGCAAAGCGCCTCCAGAAGGCAGCAGAGGGCTTGCTGTAGGTCTGGGGGAGCAGTGTGACCTCGTGGGGTGTTGGGAGGATCTACCAGGCAAAGCGCCTCCAGAAGGCAGCAGAGGGCTTGCTGTAGGTCTGGGGGAGTAATGTGACCTCGTGGGGTGTTGGGAGGATCTACCAGGCAAAGCGCCTCCAGAAGGCAGCAGAGGGCTTGCTGTAGGTCTGGGGGAGCAGTGTGACCTCGTGGGGTGTTGGGAGGATCTACCAGGCAAAGCGCCTCCAGAAGGCAGCAGAGGGCTTGCTGTAGGTCTGGGGGAGTAATGCGACCTCGTGGGGTGTTGGGAGGATCTACCAGGTAAAGCGCCTCCAGAAGGCAGCAGAGGGCTTTCTGTAGGTCTGGGGGAGTAATGTGACCTCGTGGGGTGTTGGGAGGATCTACCAGGCAAAGCGCCTCCAGAAGGCAGCAGAGGGCTTGCTGTAGGTCTGGGGGAGTAATGCGACCTCGTGGGGTGTTGGGAGGATCTACCAGGCAAAGCGCCTCCAGAATGCAGCAGAGGGCTTGCTGTAGGTCTGGGGGAGTAATGCGATCTAACTCATGGGGTACTGGGAGGATTTACCAGCATCTCTGGAATACAGCTAAGTGCTTCCTCTATGGGTGGAAAAGTAATGTGACCTCATTCATAAGTTATTGCAAAAATTTATCAGGCAAAGCGCCTCCAGAAGGCAGCAGAGGGCTTTCTGTAGGACTGGGGGAGTAAAGTGACCTCTCTCATGAGGTATGTTGAGGATTTACCAGGTAAAGCGCCTCCAGCACGCAGCAGAGAGCTTGGTGGAGGCACTGAAGGCGTGCTGGCTGTTTTTCATTATGAATCAACGCCGTCAGATGCAGAATTCAATAATTAAAAAACCTGTGGGTCTTCATCCCTGAACAACACAACCGAACAGACGGGTTAAAGCATCAGCAGCAGGTGTTCTGGGCCAGGCCTCCCCCAGCCTTTGAGTCAGGGATGCTCTCGGCAGGGTCGCTTCGCCATGTGGATGGTAACAGCCTAGCAGTTTCCACAAATGGTTAACAGGGTTGGGATGCCTCGGTGGTGTCGCCTTGCTGCCCTGAGACAGCCTGTGTTTCACTGAATTTCATGTTGATGGGGAGCGTCGCAACTGCCAGTTTCTTCGTATTAAAGGACATATCCTAAATTCTAGAAGGGGTGTTGCCAATTTGCAGAGATACGCCTTCAATTTTCTTTCTCTATTCTAAGCTGCAAATGAGCTTGAACTTTTGTAGGGCACATGGCTTCACAATGGCATTCTGAATCTTGTGTGCCTAGTTTTGCTTATTAATTGAGCAGACAACTTCAAAGGGATCCATCAAGACCTAGATTTTGAGGTGACACAAATACAAACTTTGGTAAATTTATCACCCTTGTTAATTAAGTCATCATTCTTTTGCAGAGAAAGATCTGTGTGTCCAATGTAAAGTGCAAATGCTATGTAGCTGGGACATTTCCAGTGGTAACAACTCTACTATGTACAAAGCTACAGTAAAATCTAGGAATATATATGTTTTGTTGTAATTTCTTTTCTTCAGCCTTTTTCAGTGTAAGAGAGTTCCTCAATGCAAATAAAGCAGATGCCCATTCCAGCAACGTACATGAGTGTGTGTGAGTGTGGTGTGTGTTTTCACATATCTGTGTGTATGAGTGTGCATATGAGCATGTGTCTGTGTGTGTCCATGGCAATCTCAGATTCCCAGACATCACACTGATAATTGCATTAAACCAATTTTCTTAAAAACCATGTTTGGGCCGGGCACTGTGGCTCACGCCTGTAATCCCAGCACTTTGGGAGGCCGAGGTAGGCAGATCACGAGGTCAGGAGATCGAGACCATCCTGGCTAACACTGTGAAACCCTGTCTCTACTAAAAATACAAGAAATTAGCTGGGCGTGGGGGCGGGCGCCTGTAGTCCCAGCTACTTGGGAGGCTGAGGCAGGAGAATGGGGTGAACCTGGGAGGTGGAGCTTGCAGTGAGCCGAGATTGCGTCACTGCACTCCAGCCTGGGCGACAGAGTGAGACACTGTCTCAAAAAAAAAACAAAAAAAAAAAACCAAAAGCAAACATATTTGAAGATAAGGAAATATTTTTTGGAAACCTCAGATGCTTTTCTCTCCTTGGTACGAACCATTTGGAGTCCCATCCACACACTTCTGCAAGCTGCTGACACAAGCTGGGCATTGTATTGGGTCTGGGATGTGACAGAGCTGCCGGCTGTCATTTGATGCGTGAGGCTCGTCTTCCAGGCAGCTTTCCTAAACTTGGAGATGTTTTATATATTCTGTTATGGGCGGGGCAGGGTGCTCTCTATTTGGTCCGACCTTTCCCGTACACTAGGTATCAAGGGCTGAAGCATTCAGGACACAGCAGCCCCTGGACCCATCGGAAGATCTGAGATTCTCTCCGTAAGCAACCACTCAGTAAGGTGGCAGGACCTTTCCTGGCTTCAGTTTCTTCACCCCTAAAACAAACATGGCACTTCACGGATGACAGTGGGAGGACAGGTGTCTTAGTATTTCCATGGGAAGTGGAGGAGGATCCTTTAAGGAGCCCATTGGGTGATAGCATCTCCTTGTTGTCTGTTGGTCTTGGTCCCCATGTTTAAAGTATTTTGGAGCTTTGACTAGCGTGCGCAAGGGATGCTGCCCATGTCTCTAACGAGGGCATGGGGTTTGTCCGTTTCTCTAATGAGGGCATGGGGTTTGTGGCATGGAGGGGCTTCTCTGCTTCTGAGGTCCTGCATTGCTCAGGCAGGCCCTGGCTTGAATGGGGAGGCTGGCGTGAAGTGAGAAGGCCCCAGGGAAACCCTTCTTAGAAACATCATCCATCCTGGGTCCTTCCAGTGAGGAGGCTTACCTCTCTAAAAATTCAGATTTGCCGAAAAAGTCATGATTCTTCTTCCTTAACTAACTTTAAAATGGAAAACTCTCTCCCTACCATCGCGCTGGGCCTCACTTGCAGTGAATGCCATGGGGTGACGTAGGTTTTCTGATTCTCCTAATCTGTAAGGGCGGCTTTCGCACAGGCTCCCTCTCCATCCTTTCTCGTTAAAGGCGCTCCATAAAGCAGCTTGCACACATGTTTAAACAGTTCATTGTCAATAACTTTAACCTCCCGCAAAAGCCAAATACAATGGTAATGTGGCTGTGCCTGCCTATTACAAAAGAAACCCAAGACTTAATTTCTAATCTGCAGAGGAAAATCTTTCCAGCCGTCCTCATTTGGCGGGCTTGTGGGTCTCTGTACGCGTGAAAACAGCGAGAAAATGGCAGTGGAGACATTTGTCATCTGCAGAGTAAAAATATATTGCTTTTTGTCAGGAATGTACTGGTGATGTCTGCGGGGGTGGAGAGAGAATGCATCAGTTGTGGCAGCAGGCCTTTGGGGTGGTGCAGAGGGAGAATGCCATGACCTCAGACATCTGCTCTTCCATGCCACTGGGCACGTGGTTGTGGAATGCGTCCTCAACTGGCCTTTTGCTGTTTTCTCCCAAATTTCATACCATGAGTCTTCATCTCAGGCTCCTCTTCGTTGATTTGAAGCCCCTAGTCCGTCTCCAGTTTTATTTCATTACAAGACAACATCAGCCTCTGGATCTGCTGTGATGTCCTCCCTCTGCTCCCTACATCTGTCTATCCTGCTCCCTGTAGGGGACGTCCCTCACATTTCCCAAAGTCTTACTCCACACCACCAGCTCAGGCTGAACTAGCTTAGAGAGTTTATTCCATTTGCCCCAAATACTGCCCTTTGGAACCCGCCAACGATCCATGTGTGCTTCAGATAGCCTCGTCCAGGCAGGAGTAGCTTTCTGAAATTTAAATTTTTATCTATTTACAAACATTTTTATGTTTAACAAAAAGTAAAAATGTGCCTAACAAGTATAATTAACCCTGAAATGGAAAAAAAAAAAAAAGAATATAAAGTATATCAAGGGTATCCACAGAGGAGGTAGTACTTTGTGTGGAAAGAGCATGGTTTTGAGGTTTGGATACATTTTGTCTGAGAATTTTGTTATATTGTTGAAATATGACATTTAACATTTGGTGTGGGTAATACTGACTTTAGAGGGTGCGTTGAAGCTTGATTAATGTGATCAGTGTCACTGGACCCTAGCACGTCCTTGTGTGTGTATCTATGTACAGGAATACACCATGCTTAATATAATCAGTGTAACTAGATTCTAGCATGTCCTTGTGTTTGTATCTATGTACAGGAATACACCATGGTTAATATAATCAGTGTAACTAGATTCTAGTTTGTCCTTGTGTGTGTATATATATGTACAGGCATACACCATGGTTAATATAATCAGTGTAATTAGACTCTAGCATGTCCTTGTGTATGTATATATGTACACGCGTACACCCATGGTCAATGTAATCAGTGTAACTGGACTCTAGCATGTCATAGTGTGTGTATATATACATATATATATATATGTATATATACACACACACGCATACACCCGTGATTAATGTATTAATGTAATCAGTGTAGCTGGACTCTAGCATGTCTGTGCATGTGTGTGTGTGTGTGTGTGTGTGTGTGTGTGTGTGTGTCTATGTACTCACATATACCCATTGATATGGTTTAGCTCTGTGGCCCACTCAAATTTCATCTTGAATTGCAATCCCCACATGCCGAGGGAGGGAGGTGATTGGATCGTGGAGGTGGTTTCCGCCATGCTGTTCTTGTGATGATGAGTGAGTCTCATGAGATCTGGTGATTTCATGAGCGTCTAGCATTTCCCCTGCTTGCATTTCTCTCTCCTGCCACCCTGTGAGTAAGGTGCCTTGCTTCCCTTTCACCTTCTGCCATGATTGTAAGTTTCCTGAGGCCTCCCCAGCCATGTGGAACTATGAGTCAAATAAACCATCTTCCTTTATAAATTACCGAGTCTCGGGCATTTTTTATAGCAGTGTGGAAACGGACTAATACACCCATGATTAATGTAATCAGCATAAGTGGATTCTAGCATGTACTTATGTGTGCATGTATGTACATGCATGTACCCATGATTAATGTAGTTCAACTAGACTTTATCATGTATACGTCCTTGTGTGTATACCTGCACAGGTGTGTTTATGTATATGTGTATATGTGCATTTGTGTATATAAATCTGTGTATAAGTGATTTGAAGATTAAATGTAAGCAGACATGGAGAAAAAGCACAGCTATCCAGCAACATGCCCCTGGCGTGTGTAGTCAGGCAGTCAGTGCTATCTGCTGTGAGGTACTTGTGTAGCAGGCGGGATAATATGATACAGAATATGGATGGATGCTCGGCTGTGTGTTGCCAAGCTAATCTCCTCTGCCTTGACTTTTTCCTTTCCTCCTCCCTCCTTCCCCTTGGAGTCATCTTGTTGACTATGGACTACAGAGTTATGTGTAAGTGGCTTCAGTGGGGAGCAAACAGGACAGCTCTGTTTGCCTTCGCCTCCCGAGGAGAACCTTTTCTGCACATCTGGTTTCCCCTTCACTATGTGATGCAGGGAAATTCCGGAAAATGCAGATGGAGAAAGTGCATCCACGAAGCTTCCACAGCTACGTGTATGTGTGTGCCCTACACATGTGCTTGCGTTTGAACCATGGGGTCTCTCGGGCTTACGATCAACTTGCCAAAAACTTTAGATCTCATTGAAAGCATGTGCCCTTTCACCCGTGAGCTAAACCTTGGGGAATCACACAGACTTTAACTAACCTAAGTGATTGAATACCTCTCGTTCATTTGGTTAGTGGACATGCTCATAGGGTGCAGGCCACTTCCCTGGAGACACTTTCCGAATGGGAAACAGAAAACAGATGTGAGTCACACACACACAAAAGTTACCTCTGGAAAAATAGGATGGATTCTGTTTCCTCTCCTTCTAAAAGACTGTATTTAAACTGGTTCTGGTTAGTAAAGACAACGTAAATATCTTTTCCTAAAATCTGTACCAAATTACTTCACTGAGAAGTCTCTGAGGATGTGCAGCCAGGACCGCAGGTCATATATTTTAGCCGCGTTGGGTCACTCACCTGGAGAGCCTGTCCTCAGCCCCCGGCCTCGCCCCACAGAGGCTGATTCGCTGGGCGGGTGGATCCGCTCGTTCTGTTTCTGATTAACTCACGGGTCTTGAGGCTGCTGTTGCAGGGAGATCCAGAGCTGGAAAACACCGCTATAGACCAGCACAACTTCACATTTTGGTCTACATGGATCATTTTGAGAGTATGATTAAACATCTAATCTCCAATTAAAAAGAAATCCATGTGTATACCTCTTTCCAAAATATCCCATATATATTCAGAAATAAGGGCTTTTTAATACAAAATCACTTAATTCTTCCAAACGTCGTTATCTGTGCCACCTACAGTTGCAACCACGTTCAAGGTAGAGACTGACTAGCTTGATACAATGGATGTTTAGGATTATCTCTTGCAGGGAAAATGGAGAAAATAAGCTTTTTTAATATTGCTCTTTAAACCTAGATATGTTGGCCATTTTAGGGTTTACTTACATGATGTAAAAAGTACCTACCAGGGCAATAGTTTTAAAACCCTTATTTCCAAAGCTTATAAATGCTTCTGTGGGTTCTACCTTAATTGTTATAAACAGCCTTTTCTCCATCTCTCATTCACTCTGCTCCAGGCCTGCCCATGTCTCAGCTCTGTCCAGCTTGAATTAAACTGTTGTTTAGGTTGGGAAGTGTTAATGAGTCCCTAACACTTCTCAGCTGTCCAGTCTCAGCTCAAAATAGCTTCCTCACCAGACATCTCTTTAGGGGCTGACCGTCTGCAGGCCTCATCTGGCCCAAATATGTATTGTCAGCCCACAGAGGCGTGTGGTTTAGGTGCTGGCTGGTTTGAGAAGTAACCTGAACATGATGTTGGCTAGGCATACACTTGGTTTTGCCACAGTCTTCGCTATCCCCTACTGGCCAGCCTGGCCGATTCATCCCTTTATGTTAGTGCTGGGCCTTTCCTGAGTAGCTCCGGTTGACTTCTAAAAGTAATGTTAATTCAATCTCCCTTGCTGTCTTTACCTACCTATCTGGTGACTATTTATACACACTACATTTAGTAAATATACTAAATAACTATGTATAGTGCACCAAATGTTTTGGATTAATATTAGCTCCTTTTCCCTTGGAACGTGATTCTTCCTTCTTAATACCCGGATTTATTTCTAGGGTGTTTACATCATTCGAATAATTTTGTTTAAGTCATTTAATTTAAATAATTAATTGTAAAACATTTAAATTACGTATACTGGCTGGGAGCAGTGGCTCACGCCTGTAATCCTAGGACATTGGGAGACTGAGGCTGGCAGTTTGCTCGAACCCAGGGGTTCAAGGCCAGCCTGGGCATCATGGAAATGGCCTGTCTGGCCGGGCGTGTTGGCTCATGGGTGTAACCCCAGCACTGTGGGAGGCCGAGGCGGATGGATCACCTGAGATCAGGAGTTTTGACCAGCCTGACCAACATGGTTAAACCCCATCTCTACTAAAAGTACAAAAACCAGCTGCGTGTGGTGGCACACACCTGTAATCCCAGCTACTCGGGAGGCTGAGGCATGATAATCGTTTGAACCCAGGAGGCGAAGGTTGTGGTGAGCCAAGATTGCACCCCTGCACTCCAGCCTTGGTGACAAGCAACACTCTGTCAAAAAAAAAAAAAAAAAAAACACACTTCACCTTTACAAAAAATACAAAAATTAGCTGGGCGTGGTGGCACTCGTCCGTAGTCTCAGCTACTCAGGAGGCTGAGGAGGAAGGATAGCTTGAGCCCAGGAGGTTGAGGCTTCATTGAGGTGTGATGGTGCCACTACACTCCAGCCTGGGCAACAGAGCGAGACCCTGTCTCAAAAAACAAAAATAAGAAAATAAATGATATGTACTGAATACCACTCCATCCTAACAATGAAGCACATCTTACTCACCGCTGTATAACATAACGTGAGGGTGTCATCCCCACTCTAAGAAATAAGGGAAAAGAGGCAGTACACTTTTGGAGAATTCTCAGGTGAAATCCCAGGTAAAATTTCATTATTGTCATTGTACTTGTAAAAAATACTTAAGGCCGGGCATGGTGGCTCACGCCTATAATCTCAGCACTTTGGGAGGCCCAGGCAGGTGGATTACTTGAGGCCAGGAGTTCAGGATCCACCTGGGCAACATAGTAAGACCCTGTCTCTACTAAAAAAAAATACAAAAATTAACCAGTCATGGTGGCCGGTGCCTGTAGTCCCAGCTACTTGGGAGACTGAGGCAGGAGAATTGCTTGAACCCAGGAGGTGGAGGTTGCAGTGAGCCGAGATCAGGCATCTGCACTCCAGCCTGGGCAACAGAGCAAGACTCCACCTCAAAAAAGACAAAAAAAAAAAAAAAAACTATAACAAATCATGAGCTCTAAACAATTTTAGAGTAAGTAACATAAATCTGTATCCATATGAAAAGCACTTGTTCAGTTTGGCCTAGGGTCTATAGTGGGGGTCTTGTCCTCGAAGAGGGCATGCGCTCTGGGGACAGCTGGATGACCTGAGCAGTAAAGGAGACGAGGACAGAGGGCGCTGTGAGTGCCGGGCCCAGGGACTGACTCCCCATTCTTGAGTCCGATGTGCTTTTGTTCTGCCCAGCTCTTGGAAGACTCGGCCCCCCAGAGTCTTGGCAGTGTGGATGTGACAGGGTCCCCAGCGGGACATGGGCACAGGAAGAGCTGGGGGAGGGTCCCCAAGCATGGGCTTTCCCATCAGGGAGCCAACAGAGCAAAATGTTTGGAGCGTGACAAAATGTTAACATTTAAAATACATTAATAAGATGGTGACAACTTGCTATGGTCTGAGGGTTTGTGTCACCCCCAGATTCCATGTTGAATCTTAATCACCAAAGTGATGGTACTAGGAGAGGGACTTGGGGGTGATTAGGTCGTGGGATTAGTGCCCTTATAGAAGGGACCCCAGAGGGCTGCTGTGATACTGTGATACAATAAGAAATCTATACTTGATCTCTGCCCCCCAGTTCCTGGCACAGAGCTCTACAACCCTCGGAATTTTCTGAGTGAGAGGAACGTCTTTTGTTCTCATGAAGCAACTCTTGGTGGCTCCTAGATGGGCCTGGTCACCAGAAAGACCAAGCCGTGATTAGAAGTTTGGAGTTTTCAAGCCTGGGCAATATGGAGAGACCCCATCTCTACAAACAAACAAACAAACAAAAATTAGCTGGATGTGGTGGCTCATGCCTTTAATACCAGCACTTTGGGAGGTTGAGGCAAGAGGATCGCTTGAGTCTAGGAGTTCAAGACCAGCCGGGGCAACATAGTGAGACCCCAGTTCTACAAAAACTTTAAAAAAAAAAAGCCACCTATTGCACACCTATAGTTCCAGAAGCTAAAGTGGGAGGGTCACTCGAGCCCAAGAGGTTGGCACTGCAGTGAGTTATGATCGTGTCACTACACTACATCCTGGGTGACACAGAAAGTCCCTGTCTCAAAAAATAAAGAAACAAAGAAAACCAAATAAAAACACTTAAGAAGCTGCTGAGCACAGCTGCATGGCAGGAGGGTGGAGCACCCCAACTCCATGGGGCCAGATGCTCCTGTGCTTGGGACCTTCAAGACCCCGCTCTCTCCATCGCTTCATCTGCCTGTTCTTCTGTGTCCTTTATTATAACCTTATTAACAAACCATCAAATGTAAGTATAGTGTTTTGCTGAGTTCTGTGAGCTGCTCTAGCAAATGAATTGACCTCAAGAAGGGGGTGCTGGGAGCCCGATTTGCGGCCATTCAGTCAGAAGCGTGGTGGCTGGTATCTGACGTGGGGACCGTCTTATGGGACAGGGTCCTTTAACCCGTGGGATCTGATCCTCTCTCTAGGTAGACAGGGTCAGAGTGAAGTTGAATTACAGGACACCCAGCTGGTGTCCTCTGGAGAATTGTTTGGTATGTTGGATTTAGTGAGACAAGATATAGGAAAGTGTTTTTTATTTTTTGGAGACAGGGTCTCATTCTGTCACTCAGGCTGGAATGTAGTGGCACAATCATTGCTCACTGCAGCCTCGAACTCCTAGGCTCAAGGAATCCTCTCACCTCAGCCTCCCAACAAACAGGGACCACAGGTGCACACCTCCAAGTCCTGCTAATTTTCATATGTTTTGTAGAGATGGGGTCTTACTATGTTGCCTAGGTGGATCCTCAACTCCTGGCCTTAAGTGATCCACCCGCCTGGGCCTCCCAAAGTGCTGAGATTACAGGTGTGAGTCACTGCGCCTGGCCCAGGAAAGTGTTTGACACAACGTCTGATACCTACTCAATGAGCAATTGGTTCAAACATAGTTTTGACTAAAATAACTCCTGTGGAAATAAATATTGCTTTCTCAAGGGTATTCCAACTATTCTGTCTTCAGTCAATTCTTCTTCCCCATTTCCCTCTCCTCCTCCACTTCCTTCTCCTCCATTTCTTTATTTAACAGTGGCTCCAATTGTGAAACTTCCATTTGTGCCCCCTTGAGAAATGAGGCAGAGAAAATCCCAAGGAGGTGCTCCTCTCCCACCCGGACACCCCTGATCCCAAGGAGATGCTCCACTCCCACCCAGCTTCTGGATTAAGGATTTAGGGCAGCATACTTTCATCAATGACTTCTGAAGGTCACGTTTGTTCAGGACGTTCTGAAGACATTTCTGATAGTGTACCATCTTTATAGACGTTGCTCCCTACTACGACAAATCTGTTGAGAAATTAAATGAAGGAGCCCCTTCTGTGCTCTTTAATTTCCCAATGCAATAGTAAATGTGAGAGTGCCTTACAACCATGAAGCAATTCAGCCTGACTTTTGGTGATTACAAGGAAAAGGTTGGAAAGAGCTCTTAGTGTTTAATATTTAAAAACAAATTTGTGTTGTATATTGACGAATTATAGTTGTATGTACTTATGGGTAAAAAGTGGTGTTATGCGCTTTATAGACAATGTAGAATGTATTCAGCATGCTGTGCTATGGATCTAAAAAATATCAGACTTTTCCTCCGATCTCACTGAAGCTTTGTGCCTTTGACTGTCATGTCTGTGTTTTCCCAGGCGTCAGCCTCTGCAGCCACCATTCCCCTCTCTGCTGCTCCGAGTTCAATTGTTTTAATTCCACAAGTAAGTGAGGATATGCTGTGCTTGTCTTTCTGCGTTTGGCTTATTTCACTCAGCATAATGTTCTACAATTCCATCCATGTTGTCACAAATAACAGAATTTCTTTTCTTTTTAGGGGCTGGATAATACTCCATTGTGTGTATAAACTACAGTTTCCTTATCCATTTGTCCCTTAATGGACACTTAGACTGATTTCATAACTTGGCTATTGTGAATCATGCTGCAATGAACTTAGGAGTGCAGATATCTCTTGGACCCATTGATTTCAAATCTTTAACACCCAGAAGTGGGATTGATGGATCTCTTACTTAATGTTTTTGTTCCATTTAACATGGATGTCCCTCTAACTCTTCTAAAGAATGTCACAGATGATCTCAGTTGGGCTAGAGTTTTTCTTGACTTCATACTTTGCATTCTTCTGGCCTTAATGCATTTTGGAAAGGAGCCAGTTGTTTAGAAATGTGCTCCTGCTTTTCTAACCTATGTTCAAAAAAGAGTAAGCTTCCCCTGCACCCATGGCTGTGAATCTGTGGGACTGTCGACAGTCAGGCACTGAGGATGAAGAACTGGAAGATTCTGCACATCCCAGGCCATTCTTGATGTTAGCTTTTCCCATATGTGATGCTGTAGCGTGGGAAGGAACTGGGGAAATTTCTCATACTTGCTTCCAGTTACAGGAGAATTCCTTTTCAGCAGCTCAACAAAGACCTGCTACTGATGGCCTCTTGGATGTGACGTCACGCTCTGGGGCTGCAAGTCCAGTTTAATTCAGCAGCTTTTTCCAGCTGTATAATAGGACATGAAACAGATGTAGGAGGACTGTCGAAGAAAGAGGCACAGTCCCTGCTCTTTTGTGATTGATACCCAATGTACCTTGCCCCAATGTGGTCTTTGGTTGGTAATTCAACATCTCTTGTATATATTATCTTTGTATATACCTTAATATATTAATAATTTAAAGCCCCAGTATAATTCCCTGCATAAAGTAAGACTGAACTAAGTCCCCTTTTTATAATGGTGAACCTGATTATGCACTGTTAACAGACAGTGCAGTAATTTTCAGAGATCATAGCACAACCACACTCTTCTGAGCTGGTTTCTCTGTCTACAGCAGCCATCTGTATTTAAACAAACCTCAAAGGTGGGCGGGGTGTGTAGAATTCTAGGTATTTAGAAAAGCCAGAAATTCAGTTTATAAACAACTGTTCAAAGTCAAAGATTATGACATCAATTAGCATTTCTAAAATCGCTAGGTGAGTGGTATTTTGCTTCATCATTTCTGTGACACATTCCAAGCAAGCATCATTGTATGGTATTTATCATGATCAAAGGTTCGCATTCATTTGAAGTTCTGGTCGTTCTCTTTTTTATGACTCCACCCAGCATATCACTTGGTTGTGCAAATGGACCTCCAGCACTCTCCTAGATGTAGAAGACCTCTGTTGGCAAATGTCCACCTCCCCAACTCTCTTTGTATGAAAGCCCTCTTGTGACTGCTGGTGTTTTCAGATGGACAGAGTGGTGGGGGGAGGGGAGGAAGTGCATGGTAATCAATGATCTCTAACACAACAGGGGGAGGATTTAAATGAGTAAACATGTACACATGTACATGCACCTACACATGCACACACTCCCACACACACTCACCAGCAGACCTTCATAAAAAAGTGCTTCATAGTTAATGGAGTAACTGTCATTTTATATTCACTGTATTGCTACAAAAATTACAATGGCTGTAATAGTGTTTAATGCAATATTAATATCCACTCTAAAGACGAATTTGTTGCATAGAACATATTCCAAGTAAGAGGCTGTGCCTTGTGCTGGCCACTTCATTTTCAATATGGACAAGAACTGTCTCATGAGGCCAGTTGCAAGGAATTCCATGTGGGCATGATTCTCTCCTCAGCAAATATCTCTGGCAGAAGTGTTTTGTAGCAGAATTCTCAGGAGTTGCATGGGATTCTAAACATGAGTTCAGTGATGAAATCCAGATTTACGATCTCCTTTTCACCATGTTCTGCAAAAATGAATGCAACACAACAGGCACAGCCTTTGAGCTGTGTTATTGTCATTTGTATCCAAAATGCCTCAGCTCAATTCTAAGTTTCTTGAAAAACAGGAAGAGAGTAGGCATCCATCAGAAAATCTAATGATAGCAGTGGCCCAAGATTGTTTCCTTTGCCTTATGAAGTGTTACCCTTATCAGCATCAGCATGAAATAATATTTATTAAGCCCCCTCTTGGGCCTGGTGCCATGCAGGGTAGTATTTCTCTCTGCAGTTACCTCATTGTGCTAGTTTTTCAAATATACCTGACCAATTTTGTTGTAAAATCAGTTTCTTTCTTGTTAACAAAATAGGTTATTTTTGTACTAATTAAAATCACAAGATAATTGAGTTTGTTTGCAATTTCAATGAAAGTGGTTCAAAAGCTCTAAAGGGCCGGGGTGTTAAGTGTCACTGCAGCAACGATGAATGTACCACAGGGTTCCTTCGTCATCAACCGTGGACTCGTTTGGAAAACGAGGATGAATTTGGGCATTCACAGCAGATGACACTTCCATTATCAGGACATAAATAAGCACTATGAATATGCATGGTACTTAGAAACAGGCACTTAATTTCCACAAAGACAGTCATTCTCCTTGATATGAGTTAGCTGTCTTTTGTAATTGTTCATTTTGCATTCTTTTTCTCCTAAAGTTTCCCCAAACAGTGGGAGCAGGGGGTGGGGGAAGAAAAATAAAACTACTAAACAGATAAAATGTTAATTGTAATTTATGGAAATAGAACAAAGCATTTAGAATTTTGCACAGCCTTGTGCAAGCAATAGTTATTTTGTACAACTAGGAAGACTCTATGCAGTGTGGATTTCAGTTGGAGGTAAAGCCCAGAATGTGGAGGAGGTGGAGTGGCCTCCTAGCACAAGAAAACCACATGGTTAATTGATTTTTGAAGCCCTTGGGCTCACACGCATTGAGTGCCCAACCTGGACGTCTCCAGGTGAATGGGTGCAGGGCTGCATTTCACGTTCATCTGGTGTCTCTCCTGTGGGCAGCTCTGATGTTGGTCTTCTCCTGTTGAACTTATTTTCTTTGTTATGACGGAATTAGCAAGAATTAAAGGGAGGGGGTGTTGAAGATCATTAGCACCTACTTGTAACTTTCTTCCTGACATAATTCTAAGATTGAAAAGTATCAGCCAGACCACTACGGAGAAAAAAAGTGTTATTTTCTACAACATTGCGTGTGAAGACAAATACCTCATGATTTCATCTGTTGCAGAAATCTCAAAAGTTTATCACAGCAAATGAGAAAGCCATTCTGGTCTTTATTTATAAACTCCAACGGGTTTATCTCTCCTTCCTGAACATTAAAATCTGAAAGGCAGTTTGCCTCTTAACCAAGCATCTGTCTCTGGGAGTCATCAGCAGAAGTCTGCACAGGGGAAAAAGGCGGTCTCGCCTTCGTCAGTGCATGGGCCCCGTCCAGCCACTGTCAGTGATGGCGTCCTCTGTGTCAAATAGCTATGCCCAATTTAAAAGAAAACAACAGCAACAGGCTTCTGTTGTCTTCAAGTAGCTGCAAAAATCCCTTAGGGAAAACAGAAAACATCTTATCCAGTTCGGCAATCAAGAGGATCAGCGTGTTGTAACCTCCGTGTTTTCAGCAGCACCCACAGTGGAGGCAGAAGTGGTTTTGATTTCTCCCTGTGGTTGGGGTCTCACTTCTCATGTCCACCGCTCTATTGCTCAGTATTATGCTAATGAGCGCTCCTGTAACTGCACTTACATCACAACTGAGTAGATCCCAACGGGATTTGCTTTGCTGGTTCAGCGGCTGCTCCTGTGGCGCCTCCTTGTGGACTGTTTTCCCCCGTGACTGCCCCAGCCTTGTCCGCCATGACACTCTTCCAGGCCTGGTGACGAGCGAGCTTCTGCCCGCTTCTCACACTGCCTTATATGTAATGATGTATTAAAAATCTTGGCCTTTTATCAAATGCTTGATCTATGTGTCAGATTTCTCCGCTTGCTTTATGCAGGTGTTGGGAGCATCGCCATTCTTCTTTGATATCATTTTTTAGAATTTTAATGCAAAGACTTGGGATCTTTTCAAAAGTTTCATGCAAAGTTTGGGTATTTGGTGTAAGCCAGAAATAAAATTCTAAAGCCCCAGTTGGCTGAATGGAGCCCTGCTCTTGGCCAAGGGGATCTGAAAGAAACCTGAAAAATGATTTCAGGCCGTGCCGGGAAAGTGGGGTCAGACACACCTCCTTATACCCTCTCCCATTGCAATTCAGGTGCAAATGACCAGCATTTACATGAAACAACAGAGAACCCAAGACTGACAAAACCAACTCTTGGTAGCAATAAGATACTCAGTTCCAGCCTGACTCTGGTATAGCATCACATAATAGATAGCAAGCCCTGAAGAAATCGGAGTATTTTATCCCCAAAATATATTTATTTGGCATATTTTGAAACAGCCCCACAAAGCTATTTCTTGTGGAGGAAACTTGGCTTCTATAGAGAATCTCCATCCCTTTCTAGGTCATTTTCTGATCCAGGAGAGACTTGACTGAGTCTGACACCCTTTAGGGTCCTATAAGAGACATTTACCATTTATTCTCTCTGAAGCTGCTACCTGGAGGCTTCATCTACACACCAAGAACCTTGGCTTCCACAACACCCTTAATCTTAAAGCATTTCATTCTACCCATTGCAACTTTTTAGGCAAAGCTTAACTCTTTCAGTCTTTGAATCCACATGTGACCTGTAACCAACCCCTCCCACCCCTGTCAGCTTCAAGACATTTTTCCTTTCTGGACCAAACCAATGTGTACCTTCCATTTATTGATTTATTCGTTTGTCTGTAACTTCTGTCTCCCTCAAATGTATAAAATCAAGTGGTAACCCAGCCACCTTGGACACCAGTTCTCAGGACCTCCTGAGGCTGTGTCACAGGCTGTGGTCACTTAGATTAGGCTCAGAATAAACTTCTTCAAATATTTTACAGAATTTGGCTTTTTTTTTAATCAAGATTGGAAGTGCAGTTTCTGGAGTTCTTTGTGTCTTTAAAGGGTTGTTTGATTTCAGGTATGACCTGCTGTCTTATCAATGACCCACCTCAGAGCCTGCATGCTCTTTTCGGGGTTCACAAAGAAGAAACACGTTTGTTGTTTTTGTTTCTCTTCTTATTCAAAATGACACAATCAGCAGAAGGTGTTGAGTGCTGACACTGCCTCAGAAGTGAGGTGAGGGGTGCGGCTACCCTGAGGTCAGAAAGGGCATTTGGTGTAGAAAGTTAACAGCAGGTGTTCAGAACCCTGCCTCAGAAGTGAGGTGAGGGGTGCGGCCGCCCTGAGGGACACTCCCAGCATTAGAAAGGGCATTTGGTGTAGAACGTTAACAGCAGGGGCTCAGAGATAACCCACCACATGTTTTCTTATAGGAGGGTGTCACTTTTCCTGGGTACATTTTGTCTGCCCATCTGCAATTCAGAGAATCAGGAACATTGTATTAATGAGGTAGAGGGAATCAAAAATTATTTGGGCAAACGGGAGTAGCTCTGCTTGAGTGCACTTGAGGAGGGGGTTGGGGAGGAGGGGAAGTGACAGTTCATCTCCTTGTGGCCACAGACTGCAGTCACTGGCGTAGAAGCCAAGAGGGGGGTGTCAAAGTTTCTGATCAGGCTTAATTAAAAAAAGAAAAAAAGGCCGGGCATGGTGGCCACTTTGGGAGGCCGAGGTGGGTGGATCACCTGAGGTCAGGAGTTTGAGACCAGCCTGGCCAACATAGTGAAACCCTGTCTCTAGTAAAAATACAAAAATTATTCGGGCGTGTTGGTGGGTGCCTGTAATCCCAGCTACTAGGGAGGCTGAGGCAGGAGAATTGCTTGAATCCAGAAGGTGGAGGTTGCAGTGAGCCAAAATTTCACCATTGCACTCCAGCCTGAGCAACAAGAGCACAACTCCATCTCAAAAATCAAAAAAGAAAAAAAACAAAAGATACAATGTCCAAACAGTTTCATGAATTTAGATAAGTGAAAAAGCATAAAGCTTTCCTATATCATTGTCATTTTAATTATTTATTCATTGGTTTTCAATTTCTCAGTAAATTATTGGCTCTGTATTCAATTTTAACGAAAAGAAATATCACTTGCTAGAGCAGTGATCCTCAACTCTCAATACAATAAGAACCCCTAGGAGGTTCAGAAACATGTGGACAGATGCTGAGACCCTCACAGAGAAATCTCAGTGCAATTGGTTTGATGGGCAGCCTCTGCATAGGTAGTTCTTTTTATTTTTATTTTCATTTTATAGAGATGAGGGTTCTCCATGTTGCCCAGGCTGGTCTTGAACTCCTGGGCTCAAGCAATCCTCCCACCTCGGCCTCCCACAGTGCTGGGATTACAGGCATGAGCCACTGTGCCCAGCCAGACACAG